>NC_000023.11:36948905-37099262 GCF_000001405.40 Homo sapiens | reverse complement strand
ACTGATTGCTGAGAGCTTACACAAGTCCTGTGTTGCAAGCTCTTCTGTTTAGGGAGGCAGGATCCTGAGAGATATGGGCCTAAGGAAGAGAACTCTTGTTCCCTTGAAGCAAACTTCTCTAGTACCTCTAAACTGGCAATGAGGTCTAGTGAAAGATGATGGATTTTGAACTAACTGACCAGGTTCAAATCCAGGCTGTTATTTATTAGCTGTGACCCAGGGCAAGTTATTCAACTCACTGAGCCTCAGTTCCTCCTCTACTGGGAGGAGCAGTGGTGGATAGCTACCCCACAGCACAGTGAAGATGACTGAGTTCACACCCAGTGATGTGAATAGTACCTAGAACAAAGTCAAAAAGGTCCCCTTGTGACCATCAACTATCAATCTCACATCAACTGCGCTCTTCCTCCCTAGCACTTATTACAGTTATTCTCTATTTATCGGTGCTTCACTGTTTAATATACACTTTCAACTACACTGTAACTTCCAGGATGAACAAGGACAATGTCTGTTTGCTGCTCATTGCACCAGCAGGGCCTAATCCAAGTAGGAGTTGAGTACCTTTGGGATGACTAGATCATCTAGGAATTATACATTGGGCTAAGAGTCACCACGGCTGATAAACAGTCATGCTGTTCTGAAGAGGCAGAATGAAGAAGCACCCCCCCACCCAAAAAAAAAACAAAAAGAAAAAAAAAAACAAAAAACAGGAAAAAATAAGCAAAGTTATGGAGTAAATGGCTTCATCCAGAAAGTTAAGGCTGGGCGTGGTGACTCACGCTTGTAACCCCAGTACATTGAGAGGCTGAGTGGGGATGATCACTTGAGCTCAGGAGTTCAAGACCAGCCTGGGCAACATGGTGAAACTCTGTCTCTACTAAAAATACAAAAATTAGCTGGGTGTGGTGGCACGTGACTGCTATTCAGGAGACTGAGATGGGAAAATTGCTTGAGCCCAGGAGGCAGAGGTTGCAGTAAGCCGAGATTGCACCACTGCACCCTGCTGGAATAAAAAAGAAACTTAGGGAAGAATAACCAAAGAAAAATATTCCTTATTTTTCCAGTATGGTCATCTAAACAGCTTGCATGGCCTTGCATACTAGGACCCAAATGAGTTTAAAAAAAAAAAAAAAAAAAGACTTAACTGGCATTGGGTTCTGCAGGTGTCTAACTTCTTCCCAGGTTGTGTATCAATCACCTGTGGAACAGGCCTGATTGGAAAACCAATGACATTGACAAATAATAACAATTTTTTTTTTTTAAGACAGGATCCTGTTCTGCAGCCCAGGCTGAGGGCAGTGGCGCAATCATGGCTCACTGTGGCTCTGACCTCCTGGGCTCAAGTGATCCTGATCCTCCCATCTCAGCCTCCTGATAGCTGAGACTACAGGTGCACGCCGCCAGGCCTGGCTAATTTCTGTATTTTTTGTAGAGACAAGGTTTTACCATGTTGCCCAGGCTAGTCTCGAACTCCTGGGCTCAAGCAATCCTCCCACTTGGTCTCCCAAAGTGCTGGGATTACAAGCATGAGGACCACGCCCAGCCTAAAAATTCTTTAATATATCCCCAAATACATACAATTCATTCATTAAAAAGTAATAGATACAGCTTTTCCCTGCTCCTGTAAATGTGCTACATTCATTCTTACTTCCAAAACTTTTTTTTTTTTTTTTTTTTAAAAGAGATAGGGCCTCACTCTCTTGTCCAGGATGGAGTGCAATGACAAGACCACAGTTCACTGCAGCCTCGACCTCCTGGGCTCAAGCAATCTTCCCACCTCAGCCTCCCAAGTAGATGGGACTACAGGCACACACCACCATGCCTGCTAATCTTTTTTTTTTTTTTTTTTTTTACTTTTTATAGAGGCAGTGTCTCATCATGTTCCCCAGGCTGGTCTCGAATTTCTAGACTCAAGCAATCCTCCCACCTCGGCCTCCCAGCCTCCACCTCCCAAAGTGCCGGAATTGCAGACATGGGCCACCATGCCAGGCCCCAAACTTTTATGATGGTGAAACTCTCCTAAGCCAGTACCCATTTCTATTTAAATATTACCAGTTCCTCAAGGTCCACCTTTCTTTCTCAAAGCCTTTTATTCTGGTCCACACTGATCTCTTTCTGAATTTCTAAGCCCTCTCCGCCCATATTACACAATGTTGTCCATTTAGGTAGGATCAAATGTTATTCTCCCATTGTTTCCTGTGTTGACTGAGGTCTTTCCAAGAAGGCAGGAAAACTGCTTCTCAGTAACAACTTCTTCATCCCCCAGAAAGGCCAAGACAACAGACTCTCAGGCTGTCTTTAACAAATATCAATGACTGTACCCAAGGGAGTCATACATACCTCTTCCACAACTAATGTTCTCTTCACCTACACCATCTGCCAAACAAAACCAAGGGCTAAGGGAAAAGAAGACATCTTTTGTTTTGCAAAAGAGCTCCCAATTCCTTTGAGAAAGGTGCTATGATGCATATAAATTTAGCACTCCATGACCTCAACTGGAATCTACTGAAATAAACACTAAATGAGATGCAAATTCCACTCATATATAACAATCGGGATGAGTCAATACTGAGGTTTCCATTACATCTGCTCATTTCCTAGAGTCACACTCGAACACATGTGTGTAGGCTTTGTGGAGGGCATGCACTTCTCAGAATGTCTGTTAACAATTAAGAAGGCCTGTGGGCTGGGGTTAATGGTGATTGCCCTGCCCACATGGTGAGACCGGAGCTGCACTCCTCAGACAGGATTCCACTCTTGGTATGTTGCGGGCATCACAGTGAAAACAGCCCCTCCAGGGAAGATGCAATTGCCCTGAATGGTCTCTCCTTCATCCTGAGAAATACTTAAGGGGCTGCAACATGCTGGAGCTTCAAGGCAGCATCCTCAATTTGAAGAGGGAGGAAAAGAATCATTTTCACAAGGCGATATACACCATGGTCTGTACCTAATAAAAGGCATTGTGGGGCAAACCATGGTAGCTCATGCCTGTAAGTCTCAACACTTTGGGACGCCAAGGCAGGAGGATTGCTTGAGGCCAGGAGTTAGAGAAAAGTCTGGGAAATGCAGTGCGACCCCATCTCTACACAAAAATTTAAAAATTAGCAGGGTGAACCAGGAGTGGTGGCTCACGCCTGTAATCCCAGAACTTTAGGAGGCTGAGGCAGACGGATCACCTGAGGTCAGGAGTTCGAGATTAGCCTGGCCAACATGATGAAACCCCATCTCTACTAAAAATAGACCAATTAGCCGGGCATGGTGGCAGGCGCCTGTAATCCCAGCTCCTCCGGAGGCTTGAGGCAGGAGAATCACTTGAACCCGGGAGGTGGAGGTTGCAGTGAGCCAAGATGGTGCCATTGCACTCCATCCTGGGTGACAAGGGTGAAACTTTGTCTCAAAAAAAAAAAAAATTAGCAGGGTGTGGCAACACAGCTCTGTGGTCCCAGCTACTCAGGAGGTTGAGGTGGGAGGATCGCTTGAGCCCAAGAGGTTGAGGTTATAGTAAGCTATGATCATGCTACTGCACTCCACATCCTGGGTGACAGACAGAGACCCTATTTCCAAAAAAAAAGAAAAAAAAAAAGGCATTGAAGCATTGTTGATTCAACTGTAATTATAAAATTCTTTCCAAGGATATACTTGGCTCACTGTCCACCAAAACTTATGTCAAACTGACCAGTGTGTCTCTGTTCTCATCTCAAGAGCAAACCAACCATGTGACCAGAAAAGTAGATGAGAGAATAACATATCCACTGATTCTGAGACATGTTTCCACACTGTAACATCTATGAAATCAGGATGCATCTTACAATAAAGTTTTAATTGGCAGTGTTATTGCTTTACCTGACAAATGTTAGAGCTGACTCAAATTCTGTACTTGCACTCACAACACCTAAAATACTGGCCTCATCGTCAGACATTAATAGCCAGAAAAATATAGCAAGCACCTAACACACAAAAAGCAACACACTTCACGGTGTCCGATAAACTCAAGAATGACACCCCCAGAAATTATCTGCTAAGCATTTTTGTATCCAGTGAAGTATAAGAAACACAACTGGGATATGTCTTCAAATGAGGTTAAAAAAAAGTCACTATATAACATCCAGGTGTTATACAGATGAGGCTGGAATATTAATTCTGAGTCACGGATGGGACACAAATATGAAAAACTCCACAGTGAGGGAACAATCTTTGGACATTTTTAAATGGCAGGGGCAGGGGATGCAAGGAATGGGCCTGCTGATTTTCTTAGTGGAAATAGTGTTCTAGAGAAGATTTGGCAATAAACATCAAATATCTTTAAAAGAATGCATGCCCTTTGACCCAGAAATTCCACTTCTAAGAGTTGAAGCTAAGGAAATCACTAAGGGTGTATACACAGATTTAGCTAGGAGGATGTACAGCACTGTTTCTATCACTTAAGCTGGAAATAAGTTCAATAATAAGCCCAATAATAAGGGGTGGGTCAAATACATTAAGGCACATCCATACTATAGCACAATAGGAAGAATTTAAAATTTGGCTGCAGGAATGTATCCAATTGGCCAGATGCAGTGACTCACGCCTGTAATCCTAACACTTTGGGAGGTTGAGGCGGGAGGATCACCTGAGGCCAAGAGTTCGAGACCAGCCTGGGCAATATAATGAGACCCTGTCTCTACAGAAAAAATAGAAAAACTTAGCCAGGCATAGTGGTGCACACTTGTAGTCCCAGCTACTTGGGAGGCTGAGGTGTGAGGATGGCTTGAGGCCAAGAGTTCAAAGCTGCAGTGAGCTATGATCGCATTGTGCCACTGAACTCCAGCCTGGAGGACACAGCAAGACGACGACTCAAAAAACAGAGAGAGAGAAATGAATCCAATGGCATGCAAAGATGTTCATAAAATACTGTTAAGTGAAATAAATGGAAAACCTATTATGATCTCATTTTTGTTCAAACAGATGATAGATGCCATGTGTGCACACACAGAGAAAAGAACATGTAAAAGATACGCAGTGAGGTATTAACACTGGTTGTGAGGGAATTATAGAATTGTTTCCTTTTTTAATCTTTTTTTTTTTTTTTTGCTTACTTGTGTTTTCTAATGATGGTGAGGAGAGAAAGGGTAACTATTTAAGATTGTATTTTAAAAAACAAAAACAGTGAAAAGAAACTTGAACACAATGTGATCCAATTAGATGAACAAATGGCTTATGAATCTTGGTAGCTTCAATTTAAAATATAAAATTAAAAACCCCATACATTTATCATTCTTTAATCCCTAAAATAGAAGCAATACGTTACTATCTTTCCTTTGAGAAATGCTGGGAGAAATGACCAACAGAAATAAGCATAAGACAGGGCTTAAAATAGGCAAAAATATCCCAGGAGAAAACTTTCTGCTCCACACAGAAGCTCTGCTGAGGACCACCTGGGGTAGAAGGTAGTTCTCCATATTTTTAACACAACAAAATAATTGCGAAAATACCCTAGAGCTTTCGATAAAGGCAAACTATTTCAGGGCTTTACATGAACAATAACGCTTACTCTTTATGTCAGCCCTATATGAGAAATTTCCTAATTTATAAGACTAAAAATTAATCCATTAGGCGTGGGGAGGGAGGAAAGGTATTTACGGCAAGCGTTTTTGTTTTTGTTTTTGTTTTTGTTTTGAGACAGAATTTCGTTCTTGTTGCCCAGGCTGGAGTACGATGGCGCGATCTTGGCTAACTGCAACCTCCGCCTCCCGGGTTCAAGTGATTCTTCTGCCTCAGCCTCCCGGGTAGCTGGGATTACAGGCACGTGCCACCATGCCCAGCTAATTTTGTATTTTTAGTAGAGATGGGGGTTTATCCATGTTGGCCAGGCTGGTCTCAAACTCCTGACCTCAGGTGATCCACCCGCCTCAGCCTCCCAAAGTGCTGGGATTACAGGCATGAGCCACCCCACCTGGCCACGGCAAGACTATGATTGTGATGTCAATTTGGAAAGTACAGGGCTTGTTAGTTACGTGGTGAGATTTCAGAGTACTGGTTTAAGGGAGGAGGGACCCAGGTCAATCTGCTGCATTTCCACGCCTGAGTCTCCTGCACTGAGCAGCACCCAGGCTTTGCCTGGGCTGACTTTAAGTACCAGTAGATGGAAAAATAACACTTTTCTTTGGGAGGCCAAGGCAGGCAGATCACCTGAGGTCGGGAGTTCGAGACCTGCCTGACCAACACGGAGAAACCTCACCTCTACTAAAAATACAAAATGAGCCGGGCGTGGTGGTGCATGTCTGTAGTCCCAGCTACTCGGGAGGCTGAGGCAGGAGAATCGCTTGAATCCAGGAGGCGGAGGTTGCAGTGAGCTGAGATCGTGCCACTGAACTCCAGCCTGGGCAACAGGAGCGAAACTCTGTCTCAAAAAAAAAAAAAAAAAAAAAAGGAAAAATAACACTTTTTCATTGACTTCAAGGTAAGCTCACACCAATAGGATTCCTCTATCCGTCTAATCACAACCCAAGATATTACAAGAGAAATTCTCATGTTGATTAAAGGCCAGTGGGGTTTAATGGAATGTAGAAGAGGGGACATTTAATGGTTAAAACATCTTGGATGTACATTTACCAAAATCAGAAACTCACAGTATTCCAAAGCCCCACAGCACTTTTGAGTCTTTGCTCCCTCCCTACTGGCTTTTGTTTTTGTTTTGAAGATACAGAGTCAGCAGGCTGGGTGCACTATGACCAAATGGCAACAGATGCTAGTCTTGCAAAGGGCAAGAACTTCCCTTTGATGATCTAAGAACATGGAGAGAATGGACAAACATGCCTGCTCAGGACATTTTCACTTTGATTTGGGGTTAACCATCAGTTACATGAATACCAAGAGCTATAGAAAAAGCAGTTCCTGCACCCAATAAAATCAGACACGCTACATTCCTGAATCCATCTCGACCACAAATGATCCCAGGAAACGTGTCTCCACTGCGTATGTTGTCTTATTCGCCATGCTTTAGAAGGCTGATACACAAATAGTTCTTAATGCACGGGATCTGAGAACCATTCTTCTGACTCAATATTGCATGGTGGCAAGCAGCTTAGAGAATGGATCACACTTTTCTTTTTTAATCTTTTATTTTAAAAATACAAGCAATGTGGCCGGGTGTGGTGGCTCATGCCTGTAATCCCAGCGCTTTGGGAGGCCAAGGCAGGCAGATCACCTGAGGTCAGGAGTTTGAGACCAGCCTGGTCAACATAGTGAAACCCCATCTCTACTAAAAATACAAAAATTAGCTGAGTGTGGTGGCAGGCGCCTGTAAGTCCCAGGTACTTGGGAGGCTGAGGCAGGAGAATCGCTTGAACCCGGGAGACAGAGGTTGCAGTGAGCTGGGATCATACCACTGCATTCCAGCCTGGGCGACAGAGACAGAGCGAGACTCTGTCTCAACAACAACAAAAAAAACAAGCAATGTTACCACAGATAATAACAGGAAAATAACTGATACTTTCAGAATGAAAAACATATGCCAATCGTATACCATATACAACCTCCTCCAAATGAATCTAATATATATTTCCATATTTGTAAATTGGTATCTTACCAATTGTTACAACGTTATACGTTAACCTTTCTCAAATTAGGAGTTTAAATGATGTATTAAGAAAATGAGGGCCAGGCGTGGTGGCTCAGGCCTGTAATCCCAGCTACTTTGGGAGGCTGGGGAGTGGACGGAGAATCACTTGAGGTCAGGAGTTCAAGACCAGCCTGGCCAACATGGCGAAACCGCGTCTCTACTAAAAATACAAAAAAAAAAAGTAGCCAGGTGTGGTGGCGTGTACCTGTAATTCCAGCTACTCGGGAGGCTGAAGCAGGAGAACAGCTCGAACCCCGGAGGCGGAGGTTGCAGTGAGCTGAGATCGCACCACTGCATTCCAGCCTGGGCAATAGAGCAAGACTTCATCTCAAAAGAAAAAAGAAATGAAGAAAACCGGCTGGGTGCAGTGACTCACATGTGTAATCCTAGCACTTTGGGAGGCTGAGGCAGGCGGATCACCTGAGGTCAGGAGTTCAAGACCAGCCTGACCAACATAGTGAAACCCCGTCTCTACTAAAAATACAAAAATTAGCTGGGTGCGGTGGCAGGCGCCTGCAGTCCCAGCTACTTGGGAGGCTGAGGCAGGACAATCACTTCAACCTGGGAGGCGGAGGCTGCAGTGAGCCGAGATCACACCACTGCACTCCAGCCTGGGCAACACAGCGATACTGTCTCAAAAAAAAAAAAAAAGAAAAAAAAAAGAAAACCTACCAACACTTCAGACACTGGGATTTTCAGTGAGAATAATTTTTCCCTATCAACTCTGGAACTTACAATGATCACATCTCTTTTGAATACTGCATTGCTGGCTTCATATCTAAGATAAAGAGTCTTCCAAGCCTTTAATATATAAACAAAACCCTTTCATAATGGGATCTGAGTGGCAGCTTTAATCTTATCTTTAATTCTGTAAAGCATCTGGTGCTGTGGAGTAAATAAACCAGCCCCTTACCCTCAACACAGAGTCCCCATCAAACACATGAGCCAGCCTTTCTAAAAATATAGTTACAATGAAAAGCCTACAAACAGTGGTGGTGTAACAAACAATGCTTTTTCTTAGAAAAGATGTTTGTCGTTTTCAAATGTTCTAAAAACGAAGTAAACCACAAAACCATTTTCAACAAGACGTGTGTTTCTAATTATTAGTGAGATTTATATTCCTTGAAAAAAAAAAAAACAGGAGTGTCCCTGGAAGAGCAGAGAAGTTCATTGCTCCAAGACAGCAAGAATTTATAAAGGCAAAATAATTTTGATAAGACCTATCCCCTTTTCTAGCATTTTAAATTTGGGATCTCCTTGCACAAATACTGATACAATGAATGGTCACTTTGAAGTGAGGAGAGGAGGGAACATTCCACTGCAGGGCAAGGCTCAACATTTCTTCATTACAGACCCACTACCTCGCACAGCAATGATTATTAATTCCCTCTTCAGCTTAGATTGAGAAAAGAAGTTGATAGCAACATAAAAGGTGAGGCAAAATTAATATAAGTAGAGCTTATTTTGGCCAAGCTTGAAGACTGCAACCCAGGGGCTTATGCATTCCAATTAAAAAGCAGTTACAAGTGGCTTTTTAAAGGCAAAAAAAAAAAAAAAAAGGAGCAGGGACAAGGGAGTGGGCTGATATAAAGTTGTTTGCCAGGAATTCTCATTGGTTTACACAAATTATACTGATTAGTGATTGGCTATATACATTGTTAAACTATAGAGTGAGTTACAGTGTCCAGTGCAGCATTATTAGTTAATTTATAGCTACTTCTAGCAACAGCAAGCAGTGAATACAGAGAGGTGAATATATAGCTCAAGAGGGGAGTAGGACCTGACTGTGGTCTCATTTTAAAGTCCCTCTGGACCTGATCATTTAAAAGGACTTGCATTCCTCAAAGTTCATTTTCTCATTAACACAGTAATTCAAATCTTTGATTTATTTACTGGGTATTTATTAGCAAATCATAACACTCTAACCTCTACCTATGGATAAACAGATCATAAAGATATATATGATAAATCGATCATAAACATATATACAGGCCAGGCACTGTAATCTCAGCACTTTGGGAGGCCGAGGCAGGCGGATCACTTGAGATCAGCAGAGTTCAAGACCAGCCTGGCCAACACAGTGAAACCTCGTCTCTACTAAAAATAAAAACAATCAGCCGGGCATGGTGGCAGGCACCTGTAATTCCAGCTAATCAGGAGGCTGAGTCAGGAGAATCACTTGAACCCAGGAGGCAGAAGTTATAGTGAGCTGAGATCACACTACTGCACTCCAGCCTGGGTGACAGAGCAAGACTCCGTCTTGAGAAAAAAAACAAAAACAAAAAGATATATATGACAAATAGATCTTGCAAAATCCCTCTCATACTTTCCTCATTTTGTATTTATTTCTGCATTCTGTTGATCATGAGCTTTTTCAAGCAAATTCTGGAAGCCCAGGTTAAAGGTGAACATCACATTGGGTGTCGTTCTGCCCAACCTGGTTTTTTCTTTCCTTTAGGGGACTTGAAGCCACGCACTCCTGAAGAACCACCACCTAGGCTCCCAGGGTCTTTTCTGCACTTCTTTGGATCTCACAGTAAGTGTTCCCTGGCATTAGATACTTGGGAGGGCGTGCAAGGAGAGAATGTTCTCCATTCTCCCTTCCCCCATTAGAATGGCTAATGCAGAGATTCATTTCCTAGCTCTGGTTTTCTGCATAACCCCTCCTCAAAACACAAAGACTCAGGATAGGCCTTAAAGAGTCCTTTTGTTTAGAAAGGGTCATTTCCTGCTGTTCTCTCACACCCAGAGACTCCCACCCAGTTCTCAAGGAGAGGCACTCATTTGCTTAGGAAAAAACAAAACAATTTCAGGTAAGAAAAGCAGTCTTAAGAAAATCATTTCAAATATACAGGAAAGAGTTTCCAAAGTCTAGTGCTTCACTAATTTTTTCTTATTTTGTTAGAATCGTAATTTAACAAAACAGAGGCAAGGTCTAAGGGTTTTCACTTAAAAGGCTTAAAATTAAAACCATTCCCCCCAAACAGCCCACCCTGGATGTGTCTTGGCACGCCACGGCAGCTTTCTGCATCACAATGGGGAAATGGAAAGTGGAATGAAAGTGGAAAAATGAGATTTATGGTTCTTTTAATGCACCACAGGTGCTGTCTATACAATCCCTACCTTTTAGTTAAGGAAACAGGTTAAAATGACTTGTCAAAGACAAGCAGCTTCAGTGGCTTGTCCTAGGTCCCTTAGAAACAAAGAGATAATGAGATAATAAGAGAGAAAACAAAGAATACTCATGAATTGATTGGTCAAGAAATAACTTCTATAAGGATTTATATACTATTGGTTCTAAGACTATCAGGTAATGGACGATGGTTAAGTTAACCAAGTTTGTTGAAGGTGAAGTGTGACATAAATGCTATAAATGAGGATAATCCAATGGTCTGCATTTTCATCGATGCATTTTCACCAACTAACTAGTCTGCTCAACTAACAGGTGACTTGTTAGCCTGATGCCGTATGTAATGATGACTTACATTTCTTTCATCCTGAAATGTCATCTGGTCTGCTTTACAATGAATAGAAACAGCTCCTGAGTCTGTGAGGCTGACACGTGGGCATAAATTGTGGCTGTGAGGTGGCCCCATAAGGGCTCACAAGGCATATTAGAAGGTCCTTCATGGCTACACATATAGATGGCTTAAAGGCTGGATTCTTCTGGCTAAAGCCAGCATTATGCTGAGCTTCAGATCTTTTTCTTCTTGTAGGCAAATTGAGGAAGGTATATTGAGCTGGAGGCTAGATCCAATCAAAGGATCAGAAGTGGTAAGTCTATCTCCAAATCAATTCCACCTGGGTTATTAAATTAACCCTAACAACCTAACAGTCACATCTGCAAAACAGGAATCAAATTCACCTTGCCCTACTGGTACTTAGGCATTCCCTACACTCCAGGCCCACATCCCTCTCCTCGTTCTGTGGAATTAGTAGGTTTCCCATCCTAAGTGGACAAAAGGGAAGGATTCGTTTATGTGTGAAAAACTGCTGCATACCCCGACAAGGGCTCTTATCACTTACCATCTGAACATTTCCAGCTTAAAAGTGTGTGAGATGACAACTGCGGTTTTGTATGCAATAAAGTGGGGATGAGGACCAGAAATGATCATCTTCAAGGCAGAAATATAAAGTTTAACCTGAAAACTGCTGAAAAAGGTTTATGATGATACAGTGTATCAGACAGGCTTTGGCGTCTGTAAAGCAGATTTACATTCTAGTCAATTCACAAAAAAACTTATTGGACAGTTCTGGGCATTGTCCTAGGCATCTGAGGTTTGTACAGTGTTAAACAAGGCAGGCAGTCTGCTGCCAGGGAGTTACATTCCAAGGGTACCAAATAAGTACAATAAGCATACAAGGCAACGTCAGGAGGTAAGAAGTACTATTTGGAAAATAAAAGGGTTGGGAATATAGGGCTACTTTAAACTTGGAGGTCAAAGGTCTCTCTGGGGTGACATCTGAATTGAGATCTAAATGAATGGCAAGGATGAGGCTGATAATGTCTGAGTGTAGGGCTTTCCGGGCATACAGAATGGCTTGCACAAAGGCCCTGAGGCAGGAACAAGTTTGGCAAGTTGGAGACACCTAACGAAAGCCCAGGCAGCTGGAGCATAATGAATGAGGCTGTGATTCTTGGCAGATGAGGTCAGAGAAACCAGCAGGGCCCGGATCACATGAACCTCATATGCCACTGGAGAATTTTAAGCTCCTATCCACCAGCTGTAAAACCTCAGACCAATTACTTAATCTCTCAGAGCCTTAGCTTTCTTATCCCAAAACATGGGATGGCAACACTTCATATGGTTTGTCAAAGAGCAATGTTAAAAGCAGAGTAGACACCAACTCCATAAATGTTTAATCAATCCATTAATATGCAAAAACCATTAAGTGTTTTTACAGGTTTGATTACATCTGGATATGCACCTGGTCTTTTTTTTTTTTTTTTTTTGAGACAGAGTCTCACTCTGTCCAGGCTGGAGTGCAGTGGTGCGATCATGGCTCACAGCCGCCTCGACCTCCCGAGCTCAGGCAATCCTCCCACCTCAGCCTCCTAAGTAGCTGGGACTACAGGCACACGCCACCACGCCTGGCTAATTTTTTTTGTAGAGATGAGGTTTTGCCGTGTTGCTCAGGCTGGTCTCGAACTCCTGGGCTCAACTGATCTGCCTGCCTCAGCCTCCTAAAGTGCTAGCCTCATGAAGTGCTAAGTGTGAGCCACCTGGCCCAGCCACTGCACCTGATCTTCAATTCTCCCACTGATTTTCTTAAGCATATTAGGAAAAGTAAGATTGAAAAGAAAATTTGTGCAATAAAAATGGTCTCGTCTATAATTCCAGCACTTTGGGAGGCCGAGGCGGGAGGATCGCTTGAACCCAGGAGTTTTAAGACCAGCCTGGGCAACACCACAAGACTCCATCTCAAATAAAAACAGGTAAAAAAAAAAAAAAGAAAAAGAAAAAGAAAGAAAGAAAGATAAATAAATTTTAAAAACGGTCTCAGGGTTCACTCTAACAATTCTTTTGCTTATTACTGGGAAAAGTCTTGGAGGTCCTAGAAAAAGAATTTGGCTTGGGAAGGTAAGAGGAGAGCAGTGGATGATCTGGTCTGGGAGTAGCTGACTAGATTCCAGCCCTTTGCTGATTTTCTTCCTTCTACTCAGATAAGCAAGACCCTGAGGGGCAGCAAGTACCAGTGGTTTCAGTCCCCTGTCACCAGGCATCCTGCAGCAGGCACAGGACGGAAGTACATGTCCTCACTCCCACCTCCCCAAACACATCCTGCCTGGCTGGGAGGGATACTGTATTTAAAAACAGATGACTCTTTGGAAACTCACACATTTTAAGTCCCGTAAATCACACATGCTGGGTAAAGTAATTACACTTTTGTAGCACTTCCCCTCTGAGCACAAAGGAAATTCTGCTACTTCTGTAATTAGATAGCACTTTCTGTGTACACTTTCTCCCAGGGGGGGCCTCCACTGTCTATCCTATAGGTGGGCGTAAGAGGAATTTTCACAAAACAGGATCCTGCGGATTCAAGAAAAAAAAAAATTGGGTAGTCTTTAGGATTTCTCTTAGAACAACATTGGCCACTGCCAGCCTATCTACCCTGGTGACATGAGAATCTGGGAAAATCAAGAGGAACGTCACAAAAAAATCAACTCATGAGAAATAAAAGTTAATTAAAAGTAAAGTTGTCCTATAACTTATTTGCAGAGGTTGGTGAGCCAGACCTCATTTTGGAGATTCTCAGATGTCTCCTACCTTTGCAAAACCCTAAAGGCTGACAGAATGGAACTGGCTAAGCATTCCCTTTGCATTTTAAATTTGTGTAACAATACTGTATTACAACCTGGAATGTGAATCCATCTTCTCGGTGTGACTGGCATTTATCACTGCCATTTCCTTTTTCTCTTTAGCATTTACACAATATGCACCGTCACCATAATAGGTGCAGTAGAGTTAAAACCTAAGAGAAATACAAATGCAAGTTGTTTTCTTTTTAAGTTCCTGGACTACTTTGAGCTGACACTTAGCTGGGCTGAAAAAGGCAGCAAACTTTTAAAGTATAAATTGAATAAAATGAAAATATGGCCAGGCATGGTGGCTCATGCCTGTAATCCCAGCACTTTGGCAGGCCGAGGCGGGTTACTTTATTTAAAAATAATTTATTGCTAAAAATGTTAACAATCTTTTGGTCTTTCGGCAAGTTGTAATCTTGCTGGTGGCGAGAGGTCTTGCCTCGATGTTGATTGCTGTTGATCAATCAGGGTGGTGGTTGCTGAAGGTTGGGGGATTGGCTATGGCAGTTTCTTAAAATAGGACAACAATGAAGTTTGCCATATCAATTGACTCTTCCTTTCACAAAAGATTTCTCTGTAGCATGTGATGCTATTTGATAGCATTTTACCCACAATATAACTTCTTTCAAAATTTGAGTCAATCTTTTCAAATCCTGTTAACTACATTTCTGTAATATTCTAAATCTTTTTTTTTTTTTTTGGTCATTTCAGCGATGTTCACAGCTTCACCAGGAGTAAATTCAATCTCAAGAAACCACTTTCTTTGCTCATCCATAAAAAGCAACTCCTTATCCATTCAAGTTTTATCATGAGATTGTAGTAATTCAGTCGCATCTTCAGGCTCCACTTCTGGTTCTCTTGCCATTTCTGCCACATCTGCAGTACCTTCCTCCACTGAAGTCTTGAACCCCTCAAAGTCATCCATAAAGACTGGGATCACCTTCTCTCATACTCCTATTAGTGATGATATTTTGACCTTCTCCCATTAATCATGAATGTTCTTAATGGCAGCTATAATGGTAAATTATTTCCAGAAGGTTTTCAATCTTCCTTGCCCAGATCTATCAGAGGAATCACTTTCCATTGTAGCTATGGCCTTACAAAACACATTTCTTAAATAATAAGACAAATAATAAGTCAAAATTGCTCCTTGATTCACGGGGTGCAGAATGGATGTTGTGTTAGTAGGCATAAAAACAGCATTAATCTACTTGTACATCTCCATCAGAGAGCTCTGGGTGACCTGGTGTACTGTCAACAAGCAGTAATATTCTGAAAGAAATCTGTTTTTTTTCTCAGTACTAGATCTCAACAGTGGGCTTAAAATAGTCAGTGAACAGATGTGCTACTACCCAGGCTTTGTTATTCTATTTATAGAGCACTGGGAGATTATATTTCACATAATTCTTAAGGGGCCTAGGAGTTTTGGAATAGTAAATGAGCACTGGCTTCCACTTAAAGTCATCAGGTACATTAGCTCCTCACAACAAAGGTAGTCTGTCCATTGAAGCTTTGAAGCCAAGCATTAACTTCTTCTCTCTAGATACGTCATAGATGACATGTTTTTCCAGTATAAGGCTGTTTTATCTGTATTGTAAATCTGTTGTTTACTATAACCATCTTCATCAGTTATCTTAGTTAAATCTTTCGGATAATTTGCTGCAGCTTCTCCATCAGCACTTGCTGCCTCATCTTGCACTTATAAAGATGGCTTCTTCCTTAAAGCTCATAAACCAACCTCTGCTAGCTTCCAACTTTCCTTCTGCGGCTTTCTCCCCTCTCTCTCTTCACAAAATTGATGAGACTTAGGACCTTGCTCTGGATTAGGCTTTGGCTTAAGAGCACATTGTGGCTGGTTTTGATAGTCTATTGAGACCACTCAATTGCATATCAGCAATAAGGCTGTTTCACCTTCTTATCATTGGTGTGTTCACTAGAGTAGCACTTTTAATTTCCTTCAAGAACTTTTCCTTTGAATTCACAACTTGGCTAACTGTTTGGCACAAGAGACCTAGCTTTTGGACTATACCAGCTTTTGACTTGCCTTCCTCACTAAGCTTAATAATGTCTAACTTTTTATTTAAAGTGAGAGACATGTGACTCTTCTTTTCACTTGAATACTTAGAGGCCATTGTGGGGTTATTAATTGGCCTAATTTCAATATGTGTCTCAGAAAATAGGGAGGCCCTATGAGAGGGAGAGAGATGGGGGAATGGTTAATTTGTGGAGCAGTCAGAACAGGCACAACATTTATTGATTAAGTTCACATCTTATATGGACATGGTTCATAGTACTGCAAAACAATTACAAGAGTAACATAAAGGATCGCTGATCACAGATCACCATAACAGATATAATAATAATAAAAAGATTTGAAATATTGTGAGGAATGTCAAAATATGACAGACAGGAAGTGAGCACATGCTGTTGGAAAAATGGTGCCAAGAGACGTGCTCAGTGCAGGTTTGCCACAGTCAATTTGTATAAAACACAATATCTGCAAAGCACAATAAAGTGAAGCAAAATAAAACAGGGTATGCCTATAGATTTATGGAAGAGAAGGAGGAAGAGATGTAATAAAGAATGGTGTAACAAACACAGAAAGGAAAGAAGCCATGGTGGAAAAGAAACATTTTGATCACATTAATCCAGTGTGATAGCCTCCAATTTAATCATACTCAATCTTAGCTGTTGCTTAACATGAAGAAATACATTTGCAAAATCAGAGTCAATAGTAAGCCCTCTTTTGTTTATTAGGAATGGCAAATCCCAGTAAAATATGCTTTCTTGGAGAAATTATGTGAGTTTCTCAACACTGTAACTACCCACATTGGTATCAGTTGTCATGCAGGCAAACAGGAGCAGCATTTAATCTATTTGGATTTTAAACACCAGTGAGACTTCAGAAAACAATCTGACCTCCAATCTATAGTTTATAGAAAGCAAAGGAGTTTAGGACAGCCTGATACATAATTTTATTTGTGTAGCCTCTTAAAGTTTTCAAAGCCCATTCATCTTTGCATAATTATTTTTTCTTTTTGATGCTAACGGCATAAAGATTTAAATATTATTTCCATTTTATAGCTAAGAAAATTTCAAATAACTGTGTTATCTAAGGTTAAGAGTGAGGTTTAGAGTTAAAGTCTTCTAATTGCATGTCTTTTTTTCCCTAATGCTGAAGTGACACTTTGATAATCGTGTCTTATTTCCATACTGGCATTCAGCAATTTTATGAACAAAGAAATATTCACTTTGAAACCTTGGGCTCCAACCACTGAAACAAGGGTAGGAACACTTGCACGGGGGCCTCTAATAAAGGAAAAAGAAATATATGCCTTCATATTTCTTGAAGTAGTTGTAGTCTGATTTTCTCTCTTGGCCTGGCATAGTATCCATAGCTTTGTCAGTTGTGTAGCAGAAGTGGTGATAAATTCAGCTCTGGAAGGATGTAAAAGCCAGAAGCCAAATAGAATTGGATTCCATGGGCAGTGATACCCCTGCTATGCACTCCTAATCTCTGATCATTTAAACAGAGCTTGAGGATATTGACCTCTTTTCATTCTATGATTAGAGTAACTAAGGAATCTTTAGTGCGTATAATAAAAACTATGCCTTTAAGTAAGAAAAATATTTACAGCATCATTCAACAAATATTTGCATCATGAAGAAGTTGATGACACATGAAATAATTGAAAGATAATGAAGTAGCCAATTTTGTAATTTTGTAGTTTATAATTTAAAAAAAAGTGAAATCTGGAGGTTCTTAATAATTTACTTTGCTGGTTCCTTTTTTTTTTTTTTTTGGTCCAGGAACACAGCACTTAACTTTTTGAATAACGTTACATCCCACTAAAGAAATAAAGTATATCTCAGTCTTTCTAACAATTTGAGGGAAAAACATTTTGTATTCATAACAATCATAGTGAAAACAAACACTTTAATTATTAAACATTGCTAACTAGATTCATATATTCATATTAAAATTGTTTTAAATGAGTATATGTTTGGGTGTTGAAAATAGGTTAGAGTAGGCTGTAGCAAATTTTCTCTGTCAAAATTTCCTTTAGTCGTGTATGTCCATATAATCCTCTACTTTAGGCCAGCCATCCCCCTAAAGCTGATAGTACACTCCATAATACCGTAATAATCTATTGAACCACAGAGTCACAAGTTTTTGAGTGGCATAAATATATAGGACTTAAAATCACTCCTTAAAGGCAATTGTGATCTAATCGTATACCAAGCACAT
Organism: Homo sapiens; assembly: GCF_000001405.40. Taxonomy (NCBI): domain Eukaryota; kingdom Metazoa; phylum Chordata; class Mammalia; order Primates; family Hominidae; genus Homo; species Homo sapiens. The sequence goes on along the minus strand of NC_000023.11, from coordinate 37,081,106 downwards.
GTCTATTCTACAACATTAGAGAGGCACGGTGAAACCTGATTTCTTTCCACCCTAAAATAGATAATTAGCCAGAGAAAATAAGGGGTTCAATCATTTAATACAATGAAAATAGCTGTATTTCTATTAGTTTTCAGGAGCCAGTCCCCATGTATATATGTGGAAGTTGAAGAGTTCCTTATGAGAACACAATATCCCCATCAAAGGTGGAAGTGATAGGTTTTATTATTCAATAAATGCTGGGAGATACCAGCCTAATTCTCATGTAATTAACAAATTTGATAAATGAAGCTAAGAATGAATATTATTGTAGACATGTAGCAGGGTAGGGTAAGGGTAGGAAGGTATCAGCCCAACTATGTAAACACCAGAGAAGAAAAATTTAGAATTATTTATTGTCTTTTAAATTCATAGCTTAGGTTTGGGCCCTTGTAAGCTCTAGCTTGCCAATGAATTAAGTATTTGTTTAAAATAATCATCATGCATCCTTATTCTCCAGTTCTTTGTCATGTGAGCTGTTGGCAGTTACATGTGATTTTAATTTTACCTTCTCAATCAGACTTTATTTCTGGTGTCCATGGGAAGTAACAAACTTCTAAAAGAAGATCACTCAAATCCACTATACATTGCATATTTGATTTTCTGCTTCATTTCCTCAAATAAAAACAAATTCAGCTTTGTGAACTATCAAATTTTTCAAAATAAAGTACAGAATGCCAGTACCAGTATTTAGCGGATCTGTATTCAATAGACTAAAGTTAGATATACTACTCTTTAAATAATTTAAAATAGTATCTACTACTATACTACTATATTGTATTAAAACAAAATAAAAAAATTTAAAATAAGATATACTTCTGACATCATCCTTATTAAGCCTATAGAAGAGAAAGCTCTGCAATAGAAACAAACAGACATAATCTAAGGATCCTGACCTTAAGAAATTTACAATTTTGGCAGAGAAACAAGACAGACATACTCAAAATTAAATAACAATTCAGGACAATAATATAAGAAATGTCTATAGAAGTTTATCCTTTTTATAAGCTACTTTTTGAAGTTTGTCACTTTGTCAGACTAATCTTTGGGATTTATTGATTGCAAAAGCTATTCATATTTTAGGATAGCATTTTCTAACATTTCCACCAGAAATAACATAAAGGAGATTTTAGTGATTAGCTGAAAATAAAAAAGGACAGAGTAAGAGGAAAGAAAAAAAGGTATTATATTTGCCTTTTGGAATTATAACATAAAAATCTAAAGTTAAACTAAGGTGAGCATTTATATAATGATTAGACAGCTTTCTCAGGGACAGCCTATTTTTAAAAAATAATAGCTATCACACATTGATTGCAATCATTAAACTAAGTGCTATATAACCCTCATGTTTAATGCATCATCTAATTTATTACTTAAAACTCATTATTGGTATTATTCTTCCCAGGAGTAAAACACTAATGCAAGTTCACACAACTCGAAATAGGTGAAGTCAAGCTTCCAAATGAGGTCTATTTGACACAGAATCCAATGTCTCTCTTACTTCCTAAGAAAGGAATAACATATGCTTATTGCATTTGTTCTGTATCTACATACTTTTAATGAAGTAGCAGTACGCTGAAAATATAGATCAAGAACTGCCTAAATTCACAATGCTAATATGACTCATTTCATAGAACCTAAAAGAAGGATTAAATTTAAAAAGGCTTACTGAGTGGCAATGGAAGTAAAGGAAGTTGAAGGTGTTGTGCTTTCTCTAAGAATTCACCCAAGGCTTTTAAGTCTGTACTTACCCAAGAAGAGGAAATTTGCAATCTAGGTGAAAGGGGTGAGCAAATCTAGGATGTCAGGGAAGAGATCTTGGAATTGTCTATTTTGGGATCCAGACAGGACGACTTGAAAAAAAAGTGTTTCTAGGATGCTGCTGAAAGATTAAGATACTAGAAGAGAAAAAGGAGTGAAGAACAAGTTCAAAGAGTGGGAAACATGGAAAGGTGGAAAGGTTCACTGTTTGATATTTTGGAGGTGGTTCTCTGCTGTCAGAGAAGTGGGAACTTGACCATGAGTAGAAAGAAAAAAAATGAAGGTTGCTAAAGTTAATAAGGTCTAGGAAGTGAGTAAGGAGGTTATTGGAAGTGTCACTAGTAAGGATGCTGAAGTCACTGAGGATATCTGCCATTCAAATAAAGCTTTGTGATATTAAGTATAACTAATGACATCACAAAAAACAGTACATTTGATAAAACAATCACATTTTGATAATATTGTAATAAATTTCTTTAAGAAATCACCCAGGTGATTCACTCAAAGTGGTTACACTTATATTCATAAATAACTTTAAAAATACGTTATAGGTGAAAAGGTCAGGTTACAGTCCAGTCGCCAGGGTTTCAGGTGGAATTCACGGAACTCTGGAGTTTGTGGAGTTCATGGAACTCTGGAGTTTCAGGTGGAACTCACGGAACTCTGGAGTTTCAGGTGGAACTTATGGAACTCATGGAACGCTGGAGCCCCACACCTCGCCCCCGAAGTCTGTCCCTCATTCAAACCAACTAGCCTCGAAGCACGCCCCTTCCTTCATAACAGTCTCCACTGCCCACTTCCGGTTCCGTCACACAACCGCCATTCACCGTCCGCCATTCCTCGCCACCGCTACCGCTGCCTGCGCGCTACTGCCTTTGCCTGCGTGCTCATTGTCAGCGTTGCCCGCCATGGCCACCGCCCGGCTGTAGCAGGTGCGCCACAGCTACCACACCAACTGCGAGGCCGCCATCAACAGCCACATCGACCTGGAGTTCCACGCCTCCTATGTGTACCTGTCCATGGCTTTCTACTTTGAACGGGATGACGTGGCCCTGGAGCACTTTGGCCGCTACTTCCTGCACCAATCAGACGAGAAGATGGAGCATGCCCAGGAGCTGATGAGGCTGCAGAACCAGCGCAGTGGCCGCATCTGCCTTCATGACATCAGGGAGCCAGAGCGCCAAGGCTGGCAGAGCGGGCTCGAGGCCATGGAGTGTGCCTTCCACCTGGAGAAGAGCATCAACTACAGCCTCCTGGAGCTGCACCAGCTGGCCTTGGAGAAGGGCGAGCCCAGCTGTGCGACTTCCTGGAGAGCCACTACCTACACCAACAGGTCAAGACCATCGAAGAGCTGGGTGGCTATGTGAACAACCTGGGGAAGATGTGGGTCCCAGAAGCCGGCCTGGCTGAGAACCTGTTTAACAAACTCTCCCTGAGCCACAGCGACGAAGAGACCTGAGCCCAGACGGGCCCCACAGCCACGAGGTGCCTTCCCTGGGTCGGGCCACCTGGCGGGGCGTGCATGTTACCCTTTCAGAACCTTCTCTTCAGTTTTTTCCTTTCAGTTTTACCATTGTTGGCAATAAAGTTATCTGGTTCTCAAAGCGATGAAGGTGTCCAGTTGAGGCGTGCCTGCAAAACTCTCACCTTTTACTAACTAGGGCAAATCCCCATGCAAGTTTAAAAAGGGTGTCCAGCAGTCTTTCCACCCAGGGCTGCTCCATCTGCATGCAGCTCGGGGTCTCTAAGGATGGAGGTGGAGGGTATTCTATGAGTCCCTGTAAAACACATTAATCTTTTCTTTCTAAGCTATGTGGATATATGGGGTAGGGAGGGTGGGCTGAGTGGTCTTAGGCCCTTGTGTCTGTGGGTGCATGTGCATGGTAAAGTGTAAAATATGGTCTAGAATTCATCCTAGTGGTTGTCTCTGGGGAAAAAGTCAGGGGAATGGGATTGGGCAGGGATTAAAATAATGAGGTTTTTAATTTTACATGAAAAGTTTTCTTTTTTAAATATGCAAATGCTAACATTTCTTGATTCTGGGTAGCAAGATGGGGTATTTGGAAGATGACATGGCAGAGCGTCTCTTTGGCAAGCTTACCCTGAGTAATAGTGATAATGGAAACCGAGACTTAAGCTGGCTTCCCCATTGCCAGGAGATGCATTTCTGTGGTCGCCAGGGCTGGGCATACATATTGCCCTTACAAAACCTCTACTTATTTATTTTTGTTTTTTTTTTCTCTTTGATTGAATCATTTCTTCCATTAAAGTGACGTGGTACCAAAGAAAAACAAATTACCTCAATAGAAGAGCTGAAAAATATAAGGTCAAAGTTGGGAGTCAAGTTTATAGTATTGAATATAAAGTAGAACTCTGGCTACTTTGAAGAATGTAGGGGTGTCGGGGAGGGTTGAAGGTGGAGACCAGGCAGAGACATTGTAGTTGGTGCAGATGAGAGGCTAGCATGTCTTGAAATGTGATGGTGGCTGAGGAAATGAAGGGAGGTAGACAAGTTCCAGGTGGATTTTGGACAAGTCAACAAGAATTGCCCAGGGATGGGAAATGAGGAACGTGAGATGGGGAAAATAACCTATGTTCCGGGGTTTGGCCTTGAGCGCCTGGGTTAAAGGTGATATTTTAAAATCTGGGGAGCTTGCAGGGGGGACACTTGGGGTGGAGGGTTGGGGAAGGCATATAATGTATAATCAGAGATTCCTATTAGACATTTAAGTCAAAATGTCATGCAGTTAGCAGGAAAAATGAATGCCGGTTTTGGAAACGAACACATTGGGAGATCATTCTATAAATGGTATTGAAATCATGTGACTGGATAAGCTCATCAGAAAAAAAGTGTAACAGAGTATGGCATAGCCAGCCCCATGCCCATGTAAGCTAACATTCTGAGGTTGGTTGAGGTGTTCGCACACCCAGAGAATTGCAGGTTCCACTTTTACCAATACCTTATTCCAGACTGTGGCTCCAGTGTCTGCCACAAGTTTATTTCAAAATTAGCCAATTCCTCACCTCAATGTGGCCTTTAGTCCTTCTTTCAAGATGTAAAGAAGTGTTAGCCTTTTACTTCATCTTCATGGTTGTGTGTAGGAAAAAAAAAATTTCTACTAAAAAGAGTTTCTAAAGAAGTGATAGACATGTATTTGTATGTATTTCCTTTTTCTTCTGTTCCCTTTTCAACACTGTACCTCTCTCTCAGTTCCTTCTTTATGTAACCAAATGAATCTGCACCCATATAAACCCTAGGGCTGTCTGTGTCTGGGAAAAACATACATTTTGTTTCTTTTGGGCCTTGTGTGCATTACAAAGAAAAAAGTTAAAAATGTATAGATTTGTATCATATATTCAAAGACACATGAGTAGTTATTTTTAAAGCTAACAGATGGCTTTGAGGTATTTCATACAATATAAACAAGTTTAGCTAAGCAATAATTAATTTCCAAATTTCCTCATAACTGTACTTCAACACTTTCTTAAAAATAAGGATTGTGGTTCTTTCCACTCAGTTTCTAGGAAATGCTACTGATCCTTTACTCTTCTGAGCAACATACTCTTGTTTCTTTTTTATTAATACTATTTTAAATGGAAAAATCGTAATTGTACTACCTTTATTAAGTACAACGTGATGTTTTGATATATGTATACAGTGTGGAGTAACAAAAATAAACTAGATAACATATCTACCACCTAATTTGTTTGACGTTTTTTGGTGATACATTTGAAATTTACTCTTAGTTATTTTGAAATATACAGTATGTTATTATTGAATATAGTCACCCTGCTGTGCAATGTATCTCAAAATGTATTACTCCTGTCTAGCTGAAACAATGTACACTTTAAGCAGCAACTCCCCACTTCCTCACACTCTCCCACTCCCTAGCCTCTGGTAAGCATCATTCTACTCTATACTTTTATAAATTCGACATTTTTAAGATTCCACATAAAAGTGAGATCATGCAGTATCTGTCTTTCTGTGTCTGGCTTATTCCACTTAGCATAGTGTCCTCTAAATTCATCCATGTTGCCCCAAATGACAGAATTTTGTTCTTTTTCTAAGGCTGAATAGTATTGTATTTGGTATATATATCACATTTTCTTTATCCATTCATCTGTTGATAGACACTTAGGTTGATTGTGTATCTTAGCTATTATGAATAATGTTGCAATAAACATGAGAGTGCAAATATCCCTTTCACATATTGATTTCAATTACTTTGGATACATTTCCAGAAGTGGGATTGTTGTTCTATTTTAAGATTTTTTTTAATGAATCTCTATACTGTTTTTCATAATGGCTGTACTAATTTACATTCTTAGCAACAGTGCACAATTGCTCCCTAAACATCCTTGCCAAAACTTGTCTTTCATCTTTTTGATAAAAACCATTCTAATAGGTGTGAATTGATATCTCACTTTAGTTTTAATTTGCATTTCCCTAATGATCAATGATGCTGAACATTTTTTAAATGAACCTGTTGGCCATTTGTATGTCTTCTTTTGAGAAGTGCCTGTTCAGGTTCTTTGTCCATTTTTTAAATGGGTTATTGGTTTTCTATGATTCAGGTGTTTTAGTTCCTTATATATTTTGGATATTAACCCCTTATCAAATGTATGGCATGCAAATATTTTTTTTCTCAATCTTTTGGCTATGTCTTCATTTTGTTAATTATTTCTTTTGTTGTGGAGAAGCTTTAATTTCTTGCAATCCTTTTAGTTTATTGTTGCTTGAGCTTTCAGGGTCGTGTCTAAAAAGTCCTTGCCCAGACCAGTGTCACAGAACTTTTCTCCTATGTTTTCTTTAAGTGATTTTATAGTTTCAGGTCTTCCGATTAAATCTTTAATCCATTTTGAGTTGAATTTTGTGCATGGTATGTGCATGATGTGAGAAAAGGGTCTAATTTCATTCTTCTGCACATAGATAACCGGTTTTCTCAGTACCATTTATTGAATAGACTGTCCTTTCCCCATTGTATGTTTTTGGTAACTTTGTAAAAAATTAATGAACTGTAAATGCATAGATTTCTGGGCTTTCTATCCTATTCCATTGACCAATGAGTCTGTTTGTATGCCAGTACCATACTACTGTACTGTTTTGATTACAATTGCTTTATGTTTTGAAATCAGGTATTGCAATATCTCCAGCTTCATTCTCTTTCTTTTTGCTCAATTGGTTTTGCTACTTGATGTCTTTTGTGTTTTCATACAAATTTTAGGATATTTTTTCTGAGAAATATATCCTTTTCCTTATGTTAGAGGTTGCAGTGGGCATGTTTTATTTTATTGTTGTTGTTGTTTTTTGAGACAGGTCCTCACTTTGTCACCCAGGCTGGAGTGCAGTGGCATGATCATGGCTCACTGCAACTTTGACTTCCTGGGCTCAGATGATTCTTCCACCACAACCTCCCAAGTAGCTGGGACTACACTTGCACACCACCATGCCCAGTTAAAGTTTTGTATTTTTTGTAGAGATGGGGTTTTGCCATGTTGCCCAGGCTGGTCTCGAACTCCTGGGCTCAAGCAAACTGCCCACCTTGGCCTCCCAAAGTACCAGGATTACAGGTGTGAGCCACCACTCCTAGCCAACATGGACATCTTAACAATATTCTTCCAATCCATGAACATGGGATATCATTCTATTTCTTTGTATTTTCTTCAATTTATTTCAACAACGTTCTGTAGTTTTCAGTATAGAAGTTTTTCACCTCCTTAATAAAATTTACACCTGAATATTTGTTGTTGTTGTTGCTGTTGTAAATGGTATTGTTTTCTTAATTTCCCTTTTAGACAGTGCATTATTTGTATTTAGAAATGCTATGACTTTTGTATGTAGATTTTGCATTTTATAACTTACTGAATTTGTTTATCAGTTCTAACAGTTTTTTTTTGTGTGTATGGATTCCATAGGATTTTCTATATTTAGATTATGTGTCAGCAGAAAAAAATTTCACTTCTTCCTTTCCTATTTGGATCCCTTTTATTCCTTTCTCTTGTCTAAATTCTCTGGCTAGTATTTCTAGAACTATGTTGAAAAAAAGCAGTGAAAGGGGGCATCCTTGTCTTTTCTCTGATATTAGAGGGAAAGCTTTCAAATTTTCACCACCCCCTCTAAACAAAGAATACAAAACGTTAACTGGGCATGGTGGTGGCAAGTGTAGTCCCAGCTACTCGGGAGGTTGTGGTGGAAGAATCATCTGAGCCCAGGAAGTCAAAGTTGCAGTGAGCCATGATCATGCCACTGCAGTCCAACAGTGATGTTAGCTAAGAGTTTGTCATATATGACTTTTATTGTGCTGAGGTGCATTACCTCTATATCTATTCTGTTGAGAGTTTTATCATGAAAGAGTGTTGAATGTTGTCAAATGCTTTTTGTGCATTTACTGAGATGATCATATGATTTGTATCTTTCATTTTGTTAATGTGGTTAATCACATTTATTGATTTGCATATATCAAAACATTCACAACATGAATGAATCTGGAAGATATTATGCTAAATGAAATAAGCCAGACAGAAAGAAAAATACTACATGATCTCTCTTATATGTGGAATCTAAAAACAAACAAGCAAACAAAGCTGAATACGCAGAGATAGAGAATAAAGCAGTGGTTACCAGGGGGCAAGGATGGAGGTAAGAAGTGAGGAGATGTATGTCAAGGGCTACAAAGAAACATATATGTAGGATGAACAATTCTAGAGATCTAATGGATACCTTGAGGCCTATACTAAATACTATTGTATTGTATTGTATTTGGGATTTTTACTAAAAGAGTAGATTTTAGGTGCTCTTGCCAGAAAAATAAAATAGGTAATTATGTGAGATAATAGATATGCCAATTTGCTTGACAATAGTTACCACTTAATTATCTATATGAATATTAAAATATCATGTGGTATATCTTAACTATATATAATATTTTTAAAAATTAAAAATTAAAAAATAAAAAGCATGAAGGATGAGTTTAAATCATAGTATCCAGGGATGCTCTTTGAGTAATAAAGCTGTAAAAGAATGCAGATGTGATTGTTATGAAATCAGGTTGGAGGTCACTTTAGCGAGTGAGGCTGGTGTGATTGAAGTGGACACATGGAGGGGCTGCTGGGTGATGGGTGAGGTTCTGTTGTTGCTGTTGTTTTCTCCTGTGTAGTGCTTAAAAGGATGGCACTTCATAAAAATTATATTAAGTCATACATTGGTTTTGCTTTACAATAGAATAAATTTCAAAAAAAGAGAAGCTATTGTTTTTCAGACCAGTCTTTGGCTTGAATGCTCTCACACTCTGCTTAAAAAAAAATAACTCAGTTCTGAAGTCGGGGCAGAGCAAGGTGGTGGAATAGAAGCCTACACTATTCATCCATCCTGAAGGAACAGCAAATTTAAACAACAATCTGCACACAGAAAAGTACAGTCACAAGAACAAAAAATCAGGTGAGCAATCACAGTATGTGGTTTTAACTTCATATTGCTAAAAGAGGCATTGAAGTGGGTAGGACAGACAGTCTTAAATCACCAACACCACTCCCTCCCCATCCTCCGATAGCAGTCATGTGATACAGAGAATCTGTGCATTTAGGACAGGGAGAGTACAGCAACTGGAGAACTTTACATTGAACTCAGTGCTTCCCTGTCACAATGGAGAGCAAAGTTGGGGCTTGGCCCAGCCAGTGCCTACACATGGTGGGAGCACTTTGACCAGTCCTAGCCAGAGGGGAATCACCCATCCCAGCAGTCGGAATGTGAATTTCTCAGCAAGCCTTGCCACTGAAGCCACAGTGCTTTGGGGTCCTAGGTAAACTTGAAAGACAGCCTAGGATACAAGGACTGCATTTCCTAGGCAACTCCTAGTGCTGGGCTGGCCTCAAGGCCAGTGGAATAGAGTGACATATGATGTAGCAAGACACAAGCTAGGGTGAGTAAGGGAGTGCTTGCACCGCCTCTCCACAAACCCCAGGCAGTACAGCTTGCAGCAATGAAAGTGAACCCTTCCTGCTGCTTATGGAGAGGAGAGAGAAGTGTGAAGAGGACTTTGTCTTGCATCTTGGATACCAGCTCAGCCACAGTAAGGTAGGCCAATGGGCGGAGTTGTGAGGCCCCTATTCCAGGACCTAGATCACAGACAACATTTCTTGATGCACTCTGGGCTGAAAGGGAACCTGCTTCCTTGAAGGGAAGAACCCAGTCTTGGCAAGATTTATTACCCATTAACTGACGAGCCGTTGGGCACTGAATAACCAGCAGCAATACCCTGCTAGTATTCCATGTGCCTTGGGAAGTGCTGACTTCAGGCAAGACCCAGCATATTGCCAGTGTGGTGGCTATGCTGAAATACTCCTGTTGAGAAAAGCAGAGGGGAAAGTAAAGGGGACCTTGTCTTGTGCCTTAGGTACGAGCTCAACCACAGTGGGGAGAGCAATGAATAGGCTACTAGGGTTCCTGAGTCCAGGTCTAGGCTCTTGGACAGCATTTCTGGACCTGCCCTGGGCAAGAGGGGAGCCCACTGCCCTCAAGTGTGAGTCCTAGGCCTGGCAATATTCACCATAAGCTGACTGAAGAGCCTTTGAGATTTAAGTGAACATCAGCAAAGGCCTAACAGAATCCCCCAGCCACAGGAAAAGGCTCTTGTGCCTGTGGAAAGGGGAAGAAAGTTTGGGAAGGACATTGTGTTGTGGTTTGAATGTCATCTTAGCTGCAGTAAAATAGAACATCAGGTAAATTTCTGTTTTTTTTTTTGTTTTGTTTTGTTTTGTTTTTGAGACGGAGTCTTGCTCTGTCACCCAGGCTGGAGTGCAGTGGCACGATCTCGGCTCACTGCAAGCTCTGCCTCCCAAGTTCACGCCATTCTCCTGCCTCAGCCTCCGGAGTAGCTGGGACTACAGGCGCCTGCCACCACGCCCGGCTAATTTTTTGTATTTTTAGTAGAGATGGGGTTTCTCCGTGTTAGCCAGGATGGTCTCGATCTCCTGACCTCGTAATCTGCCTGCCTCAGCCTCCCAATCAGGTAAATTTCTAAGGTTTTTGATTCTAATCCCTGGCTCCCAGACTGCAACTCTGGATCTGTCTGGGTCCTTGCAGAATTCATTGTCCTGAAGAAAAGGACATAAATCTGTCTGGCTTCACCATCTGCTGATTGTAGAGCCCTAGGGCCTTGAGTGAACATGGTAATAGCCAAGTAGTGATTACAGTAGGCCTTGTGTGAGACCCAGTGCTGTGCTGGCTACAGGTATGACCAAGTGCAGTTCCAGTGGTGGTGGCCACAGTGGTGCTTGCATCACCACACCCCAAGTTCCAGGCAAAACAGCATAGAGAAAGAGAGAGACTTTGTCTGGGAGAAAATAAGGGAAAGAAGAAGAGTCTCTGCCTGGCAATCCAGAGAATTCTTCCTGATCTTATCCAAGACCACCAAGACAATCCCTCTACAAGTTGGAAAAAATGACAGCATTATTGGGCTTGGGGCCCAAGTCCCTTTGAATACCTGGAAAGCCTTCTCAAGTAGTATGGGCACAAACAAGCCCAGACAGTGGAGATGACAATAAATACCTAAGTCTTCACTGCCCAGACACCAGCAAACATCTACAAGCATCAAGATCATCCAGGAAATCATGAGCTCACAAAATGAACTAAATAAGGCAGCAGGGACCAATTCTGGAGAGACAGAAATGTGTGACCTTTCAGACAGAGAATTCAAAATAGCTATTTTGAGAGAAGTCAAAGAAAACCAAGATAACACAGAGAAAGAATTCAAAATCCTATCAGATAAATTTAACAAATAGATTGCTATAATTTTTTAAAAAATCAAGCAGAAATTCTAGAGCTGAAAAAGGTAATTGGCATACAAAAGAATGTATCAGTCTCTTAAAAGCAGAACTAGTCAAGCAAAAGAATGAAGCATTGAGCTTAAAGACAGGCTATTTGAAAATATACAGTCAAAGGAAGCAAAATAAATAAGAATAAAAAACAATATAACATGCCTACAAGATCTAGAAAATAGTTTCAAAAGAGCAAATCTAAAAGTTATTGGCCTAAAAGGAGGGGTAGAGAGAGAGGGGGGTAAAAAGTTGATTCAAAGGGACAATATCAGAGAATGTCTCAAACCTAGAGAATATCAACATTCAAGTATAAGAAGGCTATATAACACCAAGCAGAATTAATCCAGAAGAGACTACCTCAAGTTGTTTAATAATCAAAGTCCCAAAGGTTACAGATTTAAAAGTATCATAAAAGCAGCAAGAGAAAGTAAACAAATAATACACAATTGTGCTCCAATATATCTGGCAGCAGACTTTTTGATGGAAGCCTTACAAGCCTTGAGATAGTAGCATGACATATTTTAAGGGCTGAAGGATAAACACTTTTACTCTAGAATAGCATATCTGGTGAAAATATCTTTTCTGCATAAGGAGAAATAAAGACCTTCCAAGGCAAAAGCTGAGTGATTTCATCAACACCAGACCTGTCCTAAAAGAAATGCTAGAGGAGTTCTTCAATCAGAAAAGGATGTTAATGAACAATATAAAATAATCTGAATATACAAAATCACTGGTAATAATAAGTACACAAAAAACACAGAATGTTATAACGCGGTAATTGTGATGTGTAAACTACCGTTATCTTAAGTAGAAAGACTAAATGATGAATGAATCAAAAATAATAACTACAACAACTTTCCAAAACATGGACAGTATAATAAGACATAAAGAGAAAGAGCAAAAAGTTAAGAAGCAGGGGAATGAATGAAAAGTATAGAACTTCTATTAGATTTCCTTTTGTGTGTTTATTTGCTCATGCAATCAGTGTTAAGTTGTCATCAGTTTAAAATAATGGGTTATGAGATAATAACCTCAAATCAAAAAACATACAATGGATACAAAAAAATTAAGAAATTAAATCACAGAGTCACAGAAAATCACCTTCACTGAAAGGAAGACAGAAAGGAAAGAAGGAAGGAATGAAGGAAGAGAAGACCACAAAACAACCAGAAAATAAATACAAAATGGCAGGAAAAAGTCTCTACTTAGCAATAATAGCAATGAATGAAAATGGACTAAACTCTCCAATAAATAGTCATAGAGTAGCTGAATGGATGAAAAAAACAATACCTAATGATCTGTTACCTGTAAGAAACACACTTCCAGTATACTTCTTAGTCTATACACATAGACTGAAAATAAAGTAATGGAAACATATATTCCATGTCAATGGAAACCAATGAAGAGAAGGAGTTATTATGCTTGTGTTAAACAAAATATATTTCAAGGCAAAAACTATAAGAAGAGGTAAACAAGGTTACTATAATGATAAAGGGGTCAGTTCAGCAAGAGGCTATATCAATTTTAAATATATATGCACCCAACATCCGAGCACCCAGATATATAAAACAAATATTATTAGCACTAAAGGGAGAAAAGTCCCAATACAATAATAGCTGGAGACTTCAATACCCCACTTTCAGCATTGGACAGATCTTCTAGATACAAAGTCAACAAAGAAATATCAGACTTAGTCTGCACAATTGACAAAATGAATCTAACAGATATTTATAGAACATTTCATCCAAGGGCTACAGAATACACATTCTTTTCCTCAGCACAGGGATCATTCTCAAGGATAGATCATATACTTGAGATATGATCACAAAATAAGTCTTAAAACATTCAAAAAATTGAGATAATATCAAGCATCTTCTCTAGATGAAGAAAGGGAGAAGACCCAAATAAATCAAATCAGAGATGGGAAAGGAGACATTGCAACTAATACTACAGAAATTCAAAGGATTATTAGTGGGTACTATGAGCAAGTATATGCCAAATAATGGGAAAATCTAGAGGAACTGGATAAACTCCTAGACACATACAACCTATCAAGTTTGAACCATGAAGAAATCCAAAATGTGAAAAAAAATAACAAGTAGTAAAATCAAAGCCATCATAAATAGTCTTCCAGTAAAGAGAAGCCCGAGACTCAATGGCTTCGCTGTTGCATTCTATCAAACATTTAAAGAAGAATACCAATCCTACTGAAACTATTCTGAAAAATAGAGGAGGAGGGAATACTTCCAAACTCATTCGATGAGGCCAGAATTACTCTGATTCCAAAACCAGACTAACACTCATCAAAAAAGAAAACTACATGAGAATATCTGTAATGAATATTCACTCAAAAATCCTTAAGAAAATACTAGCAAACTGAATTCAAGAACACATTAAAAAGAACATTCATCATGAACAAGTAAGATCTATCCCATGGATGCAAGGATAACTCAACATACACAAATCAATCAATGTGACACATAATATGAACAGAATGAAGGACAAAACCATATCATCATTTCAATTGTTGCCGAAAAAGCATTCGATAAATTTCAACATCCCTTCGTGATAAAAGCCCTTAAAAACTAGGTGTAGAAGAGAATACCTCAACATAATAAAAGCCAAATATAACAGACCAACAGCTGATATCAAATGGAGTGGGGAAGAACTGAAAGCCTTCCCTTTTATATCTGGAACACAACAAGGATGCTCACTGTCACCACTGTTATTCAACATAGTACTGGACATCTTAGTTAAAGCAATCAGAAAAAAGAAAGAAATAAAGGGCATCAAAATTGGAAAGGAAGAAGTCAAATTATCCTTGTTTGCAGATGATATGATCTTATATTTGGAAAAATCTAAAGATTTCACCAAAAAATTATTAGAACGTATAAACCCATTCAGTAAAGTTGCAGGATACAAAATCACCTTATGAATTAGTAGCATTTCCACATGCCAACAGCAAACAATCTGAAAAATAAATCAAGAAAGTAATCACATTTAGAATAGCTACAAATTAAATAAACTATCAAGGAATTAACCAAAGAAGTGAAAGATATCTACAAAACTATAAAACACTGATGAAAGAAGTTGAAGAGGACACAAAAAATGAAAATATATTCCATGTTCATGGATTGGAAGAATCAATATTGCTAAAATGTTCACACTACTCAAAGCAACCTACAGATTCAATGCTATCCTTATTAAAATACCAATGATGCTTTCAACAGAAATAGAAAAAACAATCTTAAAATGTATATGGAACCACAAAAGACCCAGAATAGCCAAAGGTATCCTGAATAAAAAGAACAAAACAGGAGAAATCACATTATTCAACTTTAAATTGCACTACAAATCCATCGAAATCAAAACAACATGGTACTGGCATAAAACTAGACACATAGACCAATGGAACAGAAAGGAGATACCAGGAACAAATCCCCACACCTACAGTGAACCGATTTTCTTTTCTTTTTGTTCTTTTTTTTTCTTTTTCTTTTCTTTTTTTTTTTAGACAGAGTTTTGCTCTTGTTGCCTAGGCTGCAGTGCAATGGTGCAATCTCAGCTCACTGCAAACTCTGCCTCCTGGGTTCAAGCGACTCTCTTGCCTCGGCCTCCCAAGTAGCTGGGATTACAGGCATGGGCCACCACACTCAGCTAATTTTGTATTTTTAGTAGAGATGGGTTTCACCATGTTGGTCAGGCTGGTCCCGAACTTCTGACCTCAGGTGATCCACCCGCCTTGGCCTCCCAAAGTGCTGGGATTACACGCATGAGACACCATGCCTGGCCAGTGAACTGATTTTCAACAAAGGTGCCAAGGACATACACTAAAGAAAAGACCATCTCTTCAATAAATGGTGCTGGGACAACTGGGTATTCACATGCAGAAGAATGAACCTAGACCCCTATCTCTTGCCATATACGAAAATCAAATCAAAATGAATTAAATACTTAAATCTAAGACCTCCAACTATGAAGTTATTACAAGAAAACATTGGGAAAACTCTCCAGGACATTGGTCTGGACAAAATTTACTTGAGTAATACCCCACAAGCACAGGATATCAAAGCTAAAATGGACAAATGAGATTACATCAAGCTAAAAAGCTTCTGCACAGCAAAGGAAACAATCAACAAAGTGAAGAAACAACCTACAGAATGGGAAAAATATTTGCAAACTACTCATCTGACAAGGGATTAATAACAAGAATATATAAGAAGCTCAAACAATTATATAGGAAAACATCTAATAATCCAATCAAAAATTGGGCAAAAGTTTTGAATAGACATTTCTCAATAGAAGACATACATATGGCAAACAGGCATATGAAAAGGTGCTCAACATCATGGATCTTCAGGAAAATGCAAATCAAAACTACTATGAGATATCATCTCACCTCAGTTAAAATGGCCTATATCTAAAAGACAGGGAATAACGAATGCTGGCAAGGGTGCGAAGAAAAGGGATCCCTCCTATACTGTTGGCGGAATGTAAATTAGTAGAACCACTGTGGAGATCAGTTTGGAGGTTTCTCAAAAAAAGTATAAATACAGCTACTATATGATACAGTGATCCCAGTGCTGGGTATATATCCAAAACAAAACATATCAGAATATTGAAGAGAAATCTGCACTTCCATGTTTGTTGCAGCAATGTTCAAAACAGCTAAGATTTGGAAGCAATCTAAATGTCTGTCCACCAACATATGAATGGATAATGTGGTACTTGTATACAATGGAGTACTATTCAGCCATAAATAAAAATGAGATGCTGTCATATTTAACAACATGGATGGAACTGGTGGTCGTTATGTTAAGTGAAATAAGCCAGGCACAGAAAGAGAAACTTCACATGTTCTCACTCATTTGTGGGATCTGAAAATCAAAACAATTGAACTCATGGAGATAGAGAGTAGAAGGATTGTTACTAGAGGTTGGGAAGGGAGGAGAAAGGGGAGGTGCATATGGTTAATGAGTACTCAAAATAGTTGGAACAAATGAATAAGAGCTAGTATTTGATAACACAACAGGGTGACTATGGTCAGTAATAATTTCATTGCACATTTTAAAATAACTCAAAGAGTGTAGCTAAAACAAACTAAAAGAGTTTGTAGCACAAAGGATAGATGCTTGAAGGAATGGACACCTCATTTTCCATGATGTGATTATTACGCATTGTATGCCTATATCAAAAATATCTCATGTAACCCATAATATATACACCCACTTTGTACCCACAACAATTAAAAATTTAAAAAAACTCAGTTTCTATAGAGAGAATTTAGTATACTTTTCCTATAGACAGCCTCCCTCCCGGGGAAGACTCTGTGGACATTGCATGGCATGGAAGCCACTGATCTTCTCAGATTGTCTCTCCAAGCATGGAGCCTCTTTCCTAAGGAGGAGCTGTGGTAAGGGCAGTTTCAAGTCCAGTATTCTTGTTCTTTCATGCCTTGGGTACAGCCCCCATCCAATGGGGTAGGGTCTGGTTTAAAGAAGGAAGTGATGACCTTTCATCCACAGTCACCAGGGACTTACCTATACAACTTGAAGTGGAAGAACACAAATACTGGTGGCATGCCCCTCCCATTGAAATGTGGTAAGCATTAATTGAGAGTTGAGAGAAGACGGAGCTTTGTCTTTTAGGTCACACTTACCCAGAGTGGAGCTTCTGTCAAGTTGAACTCCTTGGGGAGATAGGAAGCAGGTCATGGCTCAAATGCCACAAATTCTCACTGTTCTTTTCAAGCTTTAATAATTTTTTAAATAAATGTTTCTTCATTTGCTATATCCATGGAAACATTTCTAGAAACTTTATGTTTTTTTTTAATAGTTTTCACCAGCTTCGCCTATTTCACTGGGCAGTAGGTGCCTGTAGCTCCTCACACTGTCATCCTGGAAATGGACTCATAGTTCTTGCAGATCCTGAAGGTGGTGACCATGTCTCCCTTTCAAGGTAGGTTATAAACCAGAGTGATATTTCATGGATGAGGCAAAGTGGTGATAAAATAAGACTGCAAAGATGCAGAAGGAGAGATGAGTGGGGCATCTCAGAAGACAGAAAGAAACTACAGAGTCTTCTTATGTTTGTTTTATCCAGCAGTCTCTCCACCCACCCCTGCCCTACGTGGATGTACTTCAGGATCTACTGGGGTGGAGGGGAATGGTATTCTGTAGGTCCCTGGAAAACACATTAATCGTCCCTTTATAAACTATGCGGATATATGGGGTGGGGTGGGGTGGGTATTCTTGGGCCATGGTGTCTGTGGGTGCATGTGCACAGTAAAGGGTAAAACATGGTCTGGAATTCATCCTAGTGGTTGCCTCTGGGGAAGAAGTGAAGGGAATGGGATTGGGCAGGGATTAAAATAAAGCTGGATTTCAACCCTACATAAAAACTTGTAGTTTATGGAAGTATGCAAATGTTAACATTTACTGATTTTAGGTAGCAAGATGGAGGCTCTGGGTGACAGTATGGCAGTGTACTTTGGCAAGCTCACCCTGAGTTACAGTGATAATGGGACTGAGCCTTAGGCTGGATTCCCCACAGATATGAGGTGATTTCCTGCATATTACCCTTACAAATCCTCCACTCCTGATTTTTTCTTTCAATTCTGCCATTTCTTCCAATAAAATAACATGGTAAAAAATACTTCAGTAGAAGGAATGAAAAATAAAAGATCAAGGTTGAAGGTCAAATTTGTGATATTGAATATAAAGTAGTATATGTACTCCTGACTGTTAAGCCAGTGACTCTGGCTGTTTTGAAGAATATAGAGGGGTGTGGGAGAGTTGAAAGTAGAGACCAGGTGGAGATATTGCCCAAGTAAGAGACTAGTGTGGCTTGAACTGCGATGGTGGCTGATTAAATGAAGAGAGGTAGACAAGTTTTAGATGGATTTTGGACAAAGTGACAAGCGATGCTCATGGACAGGAGGTGAGGAATGGAAATACACATACAGGAGACATTTTATAGATGGTATTGAAGTCATGTGATTGGATGAGCTCACCAGAAAGAGAGTGTGAGGAAGAGTATGACAAATCCAGCCCCGAGTGCAGGGCAGCTAACATTTAGGGGATGGTTGAGGTGTTTGAACACCCAGAGAGTTGCTGGTCCCACCTTGACCATCACCTTATTCTAGGCTATGACCCCTAATGTCTGCTCCAATTTTACCTCAAAATCAGCCTGTTCTGACAAGCTTAATGTAGCCTCTGGTTTCTTCTTTAGAGACATAGAGAATAGTTAGCCTTATATTTTCTTCATGGCTATAGGTAGAAAGAAATAATTTCCTAGTGAAAATAAGATTCCACACAGAAATAATACACTTGTTTCTCTGTTTTTTTCCTGTTTCCCTTTAAAAATTCTTCTCCCCTCTCAGTCCACTCACTATTTGACCAAAGGAAATCTCCATCCATGTAAACCCTAAGGTTGTCCATGTCTGTAGAAAAATACTCAAAACATCTTGCTTCTTCTGTGCTACAAAAGACAATATTGTTTCTTTTGTGGGTTACAAAGATAAAAGTCAAAAATTTACAGACTATATGCTTTAGTCAAAGACACATGGGTAACTTGTATCTTGTTAAAGCTAGCAGATTGCATTGAAAATTTATTAAATACAAACAAGTTTAGCCATGTAGTAATTATTTTCCACATTTCCCCATGACTGCACTTTAACACCTTTCTTAAAAATTAGGATTCTGGCACTTTGAGTTCAGTTTCCAGAAAATGCTATTGCCTCTTTATGTGTCTTAGTCAAACTTGGTTTTCTCACTGTATCTTTTTCTCTGCCTGCTGTAAGGACTGCTGCACTGTCTGACTTTGTCTCAGGTATTACCTATTGAAATATATATGTCCATTGACTGTTCTCCTGTAAATATGAGAAAGAACAGAGCAAGTATCTATTTTTTAATGTTTCAAACTTTACATTGACTGAGGGGTCTTTTTAATTTTTGGAGAGAAAATTTGGTGTAATGTTTTGTTAACCTCAGATTGCCTTGGTTTAAATTCCAGCTTATCCACTCATCTTGGGTAAACTTGGGCAAGTTATTTAACCGTGGCGTGCCTCAGTTTCTCCCTATGTAATATGGGGATAATAAAAGCATTAACATCATTGGCTTGTTGAGATTAAATAAGCTAATATATGTAAATCACTTACAGTAGTGCCTGGCACAGTGTATGTTCACTATGTGGTAGCCATGATTTATCACTCTCACCATTATTATGCTCTACTCTTAAGTTCCCTTGCTTCGTTTATGCTTTGGGGAAAATACTTCACTTCTATACTTTGCCACTGGGGGTCACTCTTGCATTTCTACTAACCACGTCGCCTTGCATACTGAGAAGGAAAAACCCTTAGAAGATGGTTTGGTTGTCAGGTGCTATCAGGACTCAGGGGGGTACATGGCTGTTTTTACTGTCCCACTCTCAGGGCCAAGACTGGAGA
This sequence comes from Homo sapiens, assembly GCF_000001405.40. Taxonomy (NCBI): domain Eukaryota; kingdom Metazoa; phylum Chordata; class Mammalia; order Primates; family Hominidae; genus Homo; species Homo sapiens. The sequence goes on along the minus strand of NC_000023.11, from coordinate 37,061,047 downwards.
CAGGCTTTGCTGTGATAACTTTTTCATTGTATTCCCCCTCCTCATTCTATCTCAACCAGCTTACCCTTGAATTTGCCCCTAGAATATTGTGCTTGTTCTTCCCAATCAATCTCAGGTTGCTTGAGCCTCCTGTTTCCATCCAGAACTGCCTCCCACTCCTCAGAGATGGATAAGAGCAACAGGATGAAGTGCTCACCTTGATCCCCACCTTCATCTGGATGTTTGGACCTGAAAAGCAGAGGAATGGCTGGGTGGGGCTTGGGGCAAGAATGAGCAAAAGGGAACACATTAAGGCTACTGATAACATAACTAGAATCAGTACATCATCATGAGTTTTGGCACAGAGGTTCTCAAGCCTTGCTGCATATTAGAATGCAGCAGAACTTTTGAAAATCTCAATGCCCAGGCCACATCCCAGATGAAATAAATAAGTCTTTGGGGCAGGACCCGGGCATCACAGGCATTGAAAACCAGAGCATCTTGCTGCTCAAAGTGTGGTCTATGTACCAACAGCATCAATCTCAACTGACAACCTATTAGCAATTCAAAATCTCAAGCCACAACTCAGACCTACAGTATGAGAATCTGCATTGTAACAGGACTCGAGGTGATCAATACACACTCTTAATTTTAAGAAGCACTCTTTAGCAGCTTGGTTTTTAAACATGGCTGTAATTTACATCACCTGATGTTATGTTCTGAATGTCTGTGTCCACCAAAAATTTATGTGAAAGCCCCAACTCCCAATGTGGTGGGTATTTCTTTTCCTATCAATACTGCAAAAAATAAGAATCTATGTTTGAAGAGAACACCGAGGGAGTGGCTGTACTAGTGTAATCGCCCAACTGGTTCTTCTTGCCCACTGCACAGATAGAGCCAATTTAGTGAAACAGCAGTATTGCAGGAAAGGAATAGTTTTATTAGTGCAGGGTCAGCCATACAGAAGTCAGGGATTTATTACTCAAGTAAATCTCCCCCCCACATTTGGAGACTAGGGTTTTTAAATGATAATTTGGTGGGTGGGGGCTAGAGAAGGGGTCATCCTCATTAATTGGGTCAAGAATTAAGTCATAGGGGGTTGAGGCTGTCCTCTTGTGCTAAGTCAGTTCCTGGGTCAGATCACAAGACCAGTTAAACCAGCTTACCAGTCCAGGTGGAACCAGCTGGTACAACAGAATGAAGGGTTTTGAACACCAGTCTTAGGTTTTACAATAGTGATGCTATCTATAGAAGCAGTTGGGGAGGTTATGAGCCTTGTGACCTCTGGCTACATGACTCTTGAGCCATAATTTCTAATCTTGTGGCTAATTTGTTAGTTCTACAAAGGCAGTTTTTGTCCTCAAAGAAATAAGGGTTGTTTTGGGAGTTTGGAAAGCATGGATTTTGCATGCATGAAGGGCATGAATTTGGGGGCCCCAGGGGCAGAATGCTATCAACTGAATGTTCATGTACCCTCCAAATCACATGTTGAAGCACTATCTTCCAAGGTGATAGTATTTGAAGATGGGGCTGTAAGGAGAAAATCCTGGAATCATATAGAAATACCTTCTCCCAAACTGGGAGTGAGCCAAGAGATCAAGAAATGACTTGGAGAAGTCCAGCTTGGCGAGTAGATGAGATTATTAGGATTCACATAGGAGGCACTCCGGGACAACAGCAGGACAGCTGTAGAGATCTGCACCGCTTATTATTTTTAAAGTACTTTTCAGCTAATTTTCTGGCTCCTTGCTTACTGTGTTTAAGCGATGAGACTTTTTCTTGGTAGGTTCTCAGATACTGTCTGGAATGTTTGAGTTCTCAGGGACACCTGCTCTCTGGCTGGGCAACATGGCCTTGGCTCATGGCCTGGCCTTCAGGGTTTGGGCAGCAGAAATAAACCTTTTAGTAAGCTGATTGGGACCCTTCACACTACAGGGGCCTTCAAGATATAATTAAGTTTAGATGAGGTGAGGTCATGAGGAAGGAGCCTTTGTCTGATAGTCCTTACAAGAAAAGACACCAGAGAGCATGCTCTTTCTCTCCCTCCCTCTCTGCCATGCCATTTGAGCACACAGTAAGAAGTTGGTCATCTGCAAATCAGACAGCTGTCACCAGAAACCATGTGATTACCCTGGTCTCATACTTCCAGCCTCCAGAGCTGTGAGAAATAAGTTTCTGTTAAGCCATACACTCTATGGTATTTTGTTGTGGCAGCCTGAGCAGACACTTGGGGAGCTGGAAAATAATACTGATGTTGCTGTTTAAACGCACTAAGTCATACCCTCATGCAAGTATTGGATCAAACATAACATAACTTTATTGTAACTTCAACATTATTGTATTTGAAAATATTTAAAGTGAATTGGAATCCTCTCAGTTCCATTGATTTTGCATACAGACACACACACACACACACACACAGACACAGACACAATTTTGTCCATTTTGTTTTATCACAAACTGGTCTGTCTTATACCATGGATTGTTAAACTATAGCCTATAAGCCAAATTCAGCCAACCATGTCTTTATAATAAAGTTTTATTGAAACGGAGCCATGCCCATTTATTGATATATTGCCCATTGCTGGGTATTAACTGCAAAGTCAGAGTTAGTAGATGAGACAGAGACTATATGACATGCAAAGACTAAAATATTTAGTATCTGTAGGAACAGACCCTAAATTTACCTAAAAATATTCACCGGAGATTTTTAACATTTCAACGGTCTTTTGCTGTCCAAAATACTTATTGCAGCTTTCTCATACATTTTCTACCACCACTACTCTTTGGCAGAAAGCAATTGCCTGAATTATCTAATCTAATATACTCATGACTTAATCAATTATCTCAGAAAAGAGATTATGACAGACACTATCAGACACTGATACAAAAGCCATTCTATACTTTCTTCCTTAGTAAGAGAACACTGAAGTTTTAAGAGTCATGGTGTTGACAGTGTCTTGGGATAAATAATAACTAGTCAAAATGAATCATTAAAATTTTTTTCTCTTTCAAGATATTTGTTTTCCTAGTATTTCCTGCTGCTAGAGTTTGCCAGATGAATGAGTTCTCACCAAATACATAAATGGAAATAACATGGATTTCTAATAAAATTTTACTTGCCTGATAAATGACAGCACTTTGTGAAAATAATAATTTCACCTCATCCTTGTCATGCTGATTGAATGCTGGTATGGAGATGTGATCTTTGTGCAGAAACAGCCACTTGGTATCCATGAGGACAAGGCCAAGGGAGTTGCAGAACCCAGTGTAGAGCCCTGTCATAACTGAGTCAGAAGTATAAACTCTGACATTTAATATGCCCCAGGGTTCCTGATAAATAACAGCAGTTAACCTTGCTACTTAAGCTACTTTGTAGATATTCTATTTGTTATGATTCATCTGATATAAAAAGACTGTAAGGAGAAGGCATTTTTCTGCTCAAAGGGTACACACATGTTGTAAGTTGAAAAAGTTCTGAAGAACCAATGTACAGCATGATGACTATAGTTAATAATAATGTATTCTGTCCTAGAAAGTTAGGAGAGTATATGTTAAGTGTTCTCACCACTAAAAAGCAACTATGTGAGGTAATGGATATGCTAATTGGGTTGATTTTGGTAATCATTTACAAGGCATACACATATCAACACATCACATTATATACCTTGAATATATATATATAATTTTTGTCATGTATACTGCAATAAAGTTTCAGAAAAGAAAAAAATAAATGCATCTTTCTCCCTGCTTTTACATAGCAAGTATTTGTCAAGCGCATGTTACGTTAGGTACCATTTCAGGTGCTTTCCAGACATTGCCTGTGTCCTTCTCACAACAACCCTGTGAGACGTGGATCTCCCCTATTTTACATCGAGAAAATGGTTTCAGAGTAGTGTCACTATCTGAAACCTTATAGTTAGTAGATGATAGAGTCAGAATCACCTGGCTTCAGAAAGAGGTAATGTCTTTGCATCATTTCTGTTCTGCTGTCATCTCAATTCCTTGTTCCACATGCCATAGGAGACTTTATTTAAGCAACAGACCTGTGGAATTGGTCTCTTCGTATCTTTTTAATAAATAAATGGCAGGTTTGTGCGTTTTGTGTGTGTGTGTGTGTGTCTGTGTGTGTGTACATGACCCTTCCAGGTGTTCAGACTCAGAGTCCGTGTTCTCTCTGTTGCATCCAGCCCTTAATGATCAATTTCACTCTCCATGTTCACTAAACACACAATTCCATAAACCTTGTCTGCATCTCTAACTGGCTGCTATCTCATGCTGTAATTCATAGCCAGTATTCTAGAAAAGGTTACCTGTTCTTGTTGACTTCCCAGGAGTAATGAATTTCTTTAAGTGTTGGGAGAAGTAATATATCCACAATGTTCAGAAATAAAACATATAAAAGGGTATATTATGAAGGCTTCTCCCTGTCCCTGTTTTTTGGGGGGGAGGTTTCTGTATATCCTTATATACATTTATTTTACGGAGTTATCAGCATACATGGATATATACCCTCCCCCCTCACCCAGACAGTTGCTTAATTCACAGCACCCCGCACCTTGTACCACTGGGCACACCTAGCTTTTTGGTTTGGTGAGTTAACACCCAGCTGTGATGGGCGCTTCAGGTTACCCTCAAGCAGGAAGTGAAAGTTATGGCTGTGCTGTATACTGCCAAGTTGAAAATTGAAAGTGTTTTTGTTTGTTTGTTTTTGTTTTCTTTTGTGTTTTTTCTTTGTTTGTTTGTTTTTGCGGGCGGGGTGGGTGGTGACAGAGTTTCGCTCTTATCACCCAGGCTGGAGTGCAGTGGCAGGATCCCCACTCACTGCAACCTCTGCATCCAGGGTTCAAGTGATTCTCCTGCCTCTGCCTCCCGAGTAGCTGGGATTACAGACGCCCACCACCACATCTGGCTAATTTTTTTTGTATTTTTAGTAGAGATGGGGTTTTGCCATATTGGCCAGGCTGGTCTCCAACTCCTGACCTTGTGATCCGCCCACGTTGGCCTTCCAAAGGAAAGTGTGTTCTAATATGCACAAAGAGACCATCTGTGAAAACTAGGAGATTGTTTCTTGTTTCGTTTTGTTTTGGTGAGGAGGGGTCGTTCTAGATAAGAACTCTTTTAATTCACAAGCTGACCACTACAATAACAGGAATGAGATGTCAGTGGCCACACATGACAAAGAATACAGATGTTACAAAATGAGTTCAACAAAGTCACTAAACCAGCAAACAACAACTGGAACAAATAACAAAAACAAGCGTTGGAGTCTCAGTCTGTTCATGCTGCTATATCAAACTTCCACAGAGCAGATAATTTATGAAAACCAGAAATGTATTTCCTATATTTGTAGAGGCTGGGAAGGCCAAGATCAAGGCTCCAGAATTAGGCATCTAGTAAGGGTCTTCTTGCTGTGTCCTCTCATGGCAGAAGGAGCAAAAAATGATAAAAGGGATGAACTCTATGTCTTCACATAGCAGAAAGATGGAAGAATCAAAGGATTAGTTCCCTCCAGTGCTTTTTAAAGGTCACTAGTACCAGTGATGACGAATCTACCCTCACCACTTAGTAACATCCTAAAGGCCTCATCTCTTAATACTACCACATTGGCCATTAAGTTTCAACACTACATTTTGGAGGGCATTTAGATAATAGCAGATGGGCTGAGGGAGAATATGATTTCTAGAATTGCCACTTAATAATGTTAAACATGTCCAGTTTTCAACAAAAGAATATAAATCATATCAGGAAACAAAAAGTATTGCCCATACATGAGAAAGAAGAAATCAATAGAAACTGTCTCAGAGGAGATCCAGTCAGTGGATTTACTAAGCAAATATTTTAAATCAACTTTTTGAAATATTAAAGAACATCATTTAGAAAGAAGAAAAGAAAACCATGAGAATGATGTCTCATCAAATACATAATACCAATAAGAAAATAGAAATGATAAAAAAGGAACAAAATAGAAATTCTGGAATGGAAAAGGATAACAATTGGAATGAAAATTTCAGTAGAGGGAGTCAATAGCAAATTTGAATAAGAAGTAGAGAGAATCATCAATCTCCAAGAAAGGTCAGTTGAGATTATCTAGTCTGAGAATCTGGAAGAAAAAAAAGAATGAAGTAAAATTAACGAAGCTCAGAGTACTTGTGGAAACCATCCAGTGTACCAAAACATACATAAAGGGAGTTCTGGAAAGAGATAAAAAGGGGAATATGAAGGGATATAAAGAATATTTGAGGAAAGAACAGTCAATATCTTATTAAATATAATGAAATATGTTGATTTACACATCCAATAGATTCCATGTAGGGAAAAATCAGAGATATCCCCACCAAGACACTATAAACAAAAGGTAAAAAAGACAAGACAATGAAAAAACCCTGAAAGCGGCAAAATAGAAGTTACACTTCACATACACAGGATGATCAATAATATTAACAGCTGATTTCTCAACAGAAAGTCTGGAAGCTGTATTAGTCTGTTTTCATTGCTATAAAGGGATATCAGAGGCTGGGTAATTTATTTAAAAAGATGTTTAATTGGCTGATGGTTCTGCAGACTGGACAAGGATGGCACTGGCTTCTGTTTGGCTTCTGGAGAGGCCTCAGGGACCTTTAGCTCATGGCAGAAGACAAACTGGAAGTAGGCAGGTCATATGGCCAGAAAAGGTGCAAGAGAGGGTTGGGGGAGGCATCACACTTTACAACAATGAGATCTCATGAGAACTCACTCACTATTGCAAGGACAGAAGCAAGCCATGAGGGATCCACCCCCATGACCAAAACACCCCCCACCAGGTCCCACATGTACCTCTGGGAATTATAATTCAACATGAGATTTGGTGGGGACATATATTTAAGCTATATCATTCTGCCCCTGGCCCCTCAAATCTTATTTTCTTCTTACATTGCAAAATACAATCATAACTTCCAACAGGCTCCCAAAGTCTTAACTCCTTCCAGCTGATATCAACTCAATTAAAAGTCCCAAATGAAAGTCCAAAATCTTATTTGAGACTCATCTCCTTCCTCCTATGAGCTTGCAAAATCAAAACAAGTTATTTACTTCCAAGATATAATGACGGTATAAGCATTGTGTAAGCACTCCCATTCCAAAATGGAGAAATCGGCCAAAGGAAAGGGCCTACAGGCCCCATGCAAGTTCAAAACCCAGCAGGGAACTCATTAAATCTTAGAGCTTCAAAATAGTCTCCTTATACTATATACTGTGCATCCAGGGCACAGTGGTGCAGGGGATGGGCTCCTATGGCCTTTGGCAGCTCCACTCCTGTAGCTTTGCAGGATTCAGGACCCATGGTTGCTTTCACAGCTTGTTATGTGCCTGTGGCTTTTCCAGGCACAAGGTTCAAGCTGCCTGTGGCTCTACCATTCTGGGGTGTGGAAGATGGTGTGCCCTTTCCATAGATCCACTAGGCAGTGTCCCAGCGGGTACTCTGTGTGTGGGCTCCTATGTCACATCTCCCCTCCGCACTGCCGTGCCACTGCAGCAGACTTCTGCCTGGACACTCAGGCTTTTCCATTCATCCTCTGAATTCTAGGTGGAGGCTGCCAAGCATCCTTCAGTCTTGCACTCTGCACACCTACATGCTTAATGCCATGTGGAAGTCACCAAGGCTTATGACTTGCACCCTCTGAAGTAGCATCTGGAGTTGTGTCTGGGGTCATCTGAGCTGAGGCTGGAGCTGGTGCAGCCTGGATGCAGGGAGCAGTGTCCTGAGGCTGCACAGGTTACTGGGGCACAGGTTAGTGAGATTTTGCAGGGACATATATTCAAACTATACCAGAGGCCTAGAGGTAGGAAGATGACATATTCAATGTGCTGAAAGAAAAATACTGCTGATGAAGAATTCTACATTCCACAATGTATCCTTCAAAGAAATCAAAAAATAAGTCATCCCAAGATAAACAAATTTCAACAGCGATCCTCACTAGTACACTTGCTCTGCAGGAAATGCTAAAGGGACTTTACTGCCGAAAAATAAACTGACAAATTAGGAATTTCATAGGGTTCAAACTTAATATATCCATAAACTTCATGTAGAAAAAAAAGTATCAAATACTTAAGTATAATGACTAAATAGCATTGACAATCATGATATTTCTAGAAAGTATGCCATAGGATACCCATTTCATGAAAAATAAAGAGCTGAACTTTTTATGGTACATTTTTCACAAATCCATAACCATTAGGAAGCACTCCTTGATATAGAACTTGTACTCTTGGAACAGCAATAGGAATCTCCGAAGAACCAGTATTCCTGGGATCAATTTATGGCTAGATTAGTTTCACAAGTCACCTTCTTCATATTTACAAAGGGAATCTTCAAGTTCTTTTTGTTTTTCCTTAACAAATCAAACATAAAAGCAACTTGAAAAAGTACTTTAGTAGTTCCATGTTGTCTTGTATGTAATTCTGCCATTTTATTTTTCTAATCAAAATGGAAGAAAGCATAGCTTGTGATCTTCTGCTGAATGCAGTGCTTTGCTCTTTAAAGCTGTGTCTCACATAACTGCTAGTTGACATAAAGCATTCTCTCAACAAAAACCATCTACCCAGAATAAAATACAAACACTTTCTTTCTTTTCCTCTTCTTGTTTTTTTTTTTTTTTTTGAGACGGAGTCTCACTCTGTCGCTCAGGCTGGAGTGCAGTGGCACAATCTCAGCTCACTGCATCCTCTGCCTCCTGGGTTCCAGCGATTCTCCTGCCTTAGCCTCCAAGGTAGCTGGGATTACAGGCGCAGGTGCACGATACCACTCCTGGCTAATTTTTGTATTTGTATTTTTATTAGAGATGGGGTTTCACCATGTTGGCCAGGCTGGTCTCGAACTCCTGACCTCAGATGATCCGCCCGCCTCGGCCTCCCAAAGTGCTAGGGTTACAGGCCTGGCCTGACACTCTTTCTAACAGCAAAGTTTTCACCTTTGAAAGTGATTGTTTTGCCTTTATGATCACAAATTCATAATTTGAAAAAAAAGCAGCATGATAATTTTTACTATAAAAATTCTCACTTTGAGAAATGTGTCATGAAATATTTATGAATGAAATGATACAATGTTCTAGATTTTCTTCAAAATAATATATCAGGTAGAAGGGGAGAAAGATCGACCTGAGTTAGTAATTGTTGAAGCTGTGAGAAGGAAACATGGGAATTTATTATATGTTTTGAAATTTTCATAATTAAGAAACAATTCATGTTCCTAAAATGTAATTTAGGTAAAACACAGAAGATCATTATACACAAACATAGTTTCAACACTCAAGTATTGCAAAAACCATTGCTTATAGATGTTTTACATTTGTTACTGAGTTTAATATGAAGTTTTAAATTCAGTAAGTCTTTTTTGTACTACTAGCCAAAATAAACTGAGAATTAATTTTAGTTTATTCTTCCTCACACTAATAGCTTTCAAAAGAAGTGAGTTTATCTTATACTATATTTAAAATAGATGCCAGTGGCTTCCCTCGTAACTTTTTCCAATATTTAAATATCATCTTTGTTGAATGACTTAACCTTAAGGAAATATTTACCACTCCTGATAAGATAATACATCAACACAAAAATGCATAAATATTTTATTGCACACAAAAACAGCTTCCAGAGAGAGTTGGAGAAACTAAGAAAATATGTAGATTTGTTTTGTATAAAGAAAACATGTTTTTCCAATTCTTTGAATTGTTAACTGACAATATAAAAAAGGATTCAAATTTATTTTCCAAGGTTAACTTTATTCATAACGCTGCTTCTGGCAATTAAGACTCCAGAAACAGATGAGAAGCAATGATTCCCAGCCCACTTAGAAAAGAAGATGTAACTTTACAAGCTTTTCTTTTCTAAAACAACCAATCTAAGATGAGGTTGATGGCCACTTAATCCTTACCATGTTCTACAAAGCCACAGGTTTACCAGTATCAATGAGTAAAAAAATTAACACTGAGTTTGGAAATAACAAAATATAATTGAAAGCCTATTTATTAAAATGAAAGAGTCTAGGAAATGTGTTTGTTTCTTAACTGTAAACATAATTGACAGACCCAACTGATAAAATGTGATATGCTTCTCTATACCCTCAAGATCTTTTCTCCCATGTAAGTATCTGTTCCCTCCCCAGAGACAATATAACTCAGGCCCTCAACCATTATCAGCACCATCCCCTTCCTCTCTTCTCCTCTCTGTGAAGATTCAGTCATGTCACATTTTCCTGTGAAAGCCCCAGACCAGAAGTTTGAATTCTGTGGCACTTCTTGATGGTGATGATTGATGGCAGGCGGGTGGGTGCAGTTGATACTTGGCATCTGGTATATTAATCAGTAATGTGACTCACTTTTAGCATGTGGGTCCAAAGACCCTTGAAAGATGTACTTTCATACATGCCCTTGATTATCTCATCCTTTACACACTATTTAGAGCCTATCATCCCATCTGCTCAAAATTATGTATTGTTAATCACTGTCATGATAACACAGGACATAACATTTGTAAGAACAAGCAATAGGCAACCAGATGGCTGCTGCGAGAAACTGGGGCTCAGTACCACTGGAGAGCCATAGAATGAGTCAGGCACACACCTCAGAAGTGTCCCATCCAAGGCAAAGAACCTGGAGTATTGACGTGGAAACTTCTGTTACTCTTCTCTTGAGGGTTGACCTCCAAGGTATGAGCATTATTCCCTTGTGGGACAGAGAAAACCCTTGAGCAGAGAGTGCAGGAACTCTCTCCAGCTGACCCCAGGGTAGACCAACAATGTATGGGTAGCTGTCTGCAAGGAATTTTTAAATAAATTTGTATGTTCTTCATCACAAGAGCATCTATATGCTTATGAAAATAGCAGTTAATTGTGAGCCATCATTCAGACCTCAGACAAGGCTCAGTGAAAATATGGATTTGCAACCTACCTGCAATAACTCTGAAAATGCCTTGCTGCCCACATCCTCTCTCTACCAGAGTGTACAGCCCAAAGATTGGGTCATATGCCATGTATAATTTGACAGTCAAAGGTTACAAGAAATTGGCAATATTTTTCCTCTTAAAAATTCACATTGTACCCTTATGTCTTTGGAGGATACCCTTGTTCCATCTATTATTTTAGTGACCAATCCCTGCCTTAGAGGATGTAAAAAAGGTGTGGCATGTTTATGGAGAGCAAGCTCCACCACCAAGATGTCTGCTGCTCAGTTTCCTCCTGTGGCTGTTTGTATTAGTCCATTCTAACACTGCTATAAAGACACTACCTGAGACTGGGTAATTTATAAACAAAAGAGGTTTAATTGACTCACAGTTCTGCATGGCTTGGGAGGCTCCAGGAAACTTACAATCATGGTGTAAGCTGAAGGGGAAGCAAGGCACATCTTACACACAGCAGGAGAGAGAGAGTGCAGGGGAAACTGCCACTTTTAAAACCGTCAGATTTCATGAGAACTCCTTCACTATCATGAGAACTGCATTGGGGAAACTGCCCCCAGGAGCCAATCACTCCCACCAGGTCCCTCCCTCAACACGGGGGAATTACAATTTGAGATGAGATTTGGGGAAGGACACAGAGCCAAACCACATCACCGGGCCCCTGGAACCTCCCAAATCTCATGTCCTTTTCACATTGCAAAACCAACCATGCCTTCCCAATGGTCCACCAAAATCTTAACTCTTTCCAGCATTTACTCGAAAGTCCAACCCCGAAGTCTCATCTGAGACAAGGCAAGTGCCTTTCGCCTAAGAGCCTGTAAAATCAAAAGGAAGCTAGTTATTTTCAAGACACAATGGGAGTGCAAGCATTGGGTAAATTTTCCCATGCAAGTGGAAAAAAATTGGCCAAAACAAAGAGGCCAGAGGCCCCATGCAAGTCCAAAACCTGCCCAGGCAGTCATTAAATCTTAAAGCTCCAAAATCTCCTTTGACACCATGTCTCACATCCAGAGCATGCCGATGCAAGGAGTGGGCTTCCATGCTCTTGGGCAGCTCTGCCCCTGTGGCTCTGCAGGGCACAGCTCCGCAGCTGTTTTCATAGGCTGGCATTGAGTGCCTGCAGCTTTTCCAGGTGCACAGTACAAGCTGATGATGGATCTACCCTTCCAAGGTCTGGACGATGGTGGCCCTCTTCTCACTGCTCCACTAGGCAGTGCACCAGTGGGGACTCTGTGTGCAGGCTCCAAACCCACATTTCCCCTTTGTATTGCCTCAGTAGAGTTCTTCAAGAGGGATTCACCCCTGCAGCAGCCTTGCAGACTTCTGCCTGGACATCCAGTCATTTCCATACATCCTCTGAAGTTTAGGCAGAGGCTCCCAAAGCTCAACTCTTGTCTTCTGTGCTCCCGCAGGCCCAACACCACGTTGAAGCCACCAAGGCTTGGGGCTTGCACTGTCTGAAGCAACTGCCTGAGCTGTACCTTGACCTCTTTTAGCCACAGCTGGAACTGAATCAGCTGGAATGAAGGGCACCATGCTCTGAGGCTGCACAGAGAAGCAGGGCCCTGGGCCCTGCTCATGAAACCATTTTTCCCCTTTAGGCCTCTAGGCCTATGATGGGAGGGGCTGTTGTGAAGATCTCTGACATGCACTGGAGACATTTTCCTCATTGTCTTGGCTATTAACATGTGGCTCCTTGTTACGTATCCAAATTTGTGCAGCCAGCTTGAATTTCTCTCCAGAAAATGCAATTTTCTTTTCTACCTCAGCCTGGACTTCATTGTCCATATCACTATCAGCATTTTGATCAAGACCATTCAACAAGTCTCTAGGCAGTTCCAAACTTTCCAACATCTTCCTGTCTTCTTCTGAGCCCTCCAAAGTGTTCCAACCTCTGCCTGTTACCCAGTTCCAAAGTTGCTTCCACATTTTCAGGATATCTTTATAGCAGTACCCCACTCTGACAGTACCAGTAATCTATATTAGTCCATTCTCACACTGCTATAAAGATACTACCTGAGAATGAGTAATTTATAAACAAAAGAGGTTTAATTGACTCACAGTTCTGCATGGCTGGGGACGCCTCAGGAAACAAAATCATGGCAGAAGGCAAAGGGGAAACAGGGCACATCTTACATGAGCAGGAGAGAGAGAAAGTGCAAGTGAAACTGTCACTTTTACAACCATCAGATCTTGTGAGAACTCCCTCATTATCACGAGAACAGAATGGGGGAAACTGCTCCCATGATCCAATCACTCCCACCGTGTCTCTCCCTCAACATGTGGGGAGTACAATTTGAGATTAGATTTCGGTGGGGACACAGAACCAAACCATATCACTCCTCTTCCACACTCTTCATTGGATAAAATGGGTGATTTGAGAAGCAGTAAAGAGGCACTAGGGCCACTGCTAGACTAGAACTCTCCATGAAAGGGTCACTGTCACCTACCATGAGTGACAGAGTCATCCATTTGAAATCCTTCTAGAATAAAACATGCAATGAAAGCATTTGAGTTTTGAAGCACATGGACTCAATCATAAAATAACTATCAGGAGAGCATTTAGGATCAGTGATGATTCCCATTGCTCTGTGTGCTAGTTTCTGGATGAAATGAAGCTGATTCTCTTGCTGAACATTAAATGAAGAATGTGGACCCTGAAAATTGTCTTTCATATCACCCCCACCCTGCACCAACAGACTCAAAAATTCAGTGGGGAGACTTATGGATTGCGTTTGAGAATTGCTGGTCTACATAAGCCAAAGAGGTGTCTATAACCAGTAAATAATTTTTTGGGATTTCTGTGCAGCAAATTGTTAAGAGATGGAGGAAGGAAGAACATCTTCATGAGAAGTCACATAATTACAGTCAAGTTAGAAATAATCAGACACAGATAGCACCAGTTATTCAGAAAATTGACCAAGGAACAAGAGTTTTGGAGAAGGAGTAGGGTGCTAAATAAAATGTATTTTAATCCTACCAGGAAAGGCAATCCAAGCATCAGCTGTACTCTTATAGTTCAATGCAGATTATCCCCATTGCACAAGGGTGGGGGACCAACACTTTATAAAGAAATGTCACCTAAAATGTAGACACACAGTATTTAAATTAATCACAATCCTAAAGTAGGGATCAGCACATCAGGGGAGAGATAAAAAGCCTAAACTCCTCATCCCATCCATGAAGAGAGGCTTGGCAGCCTCCTGAGGAAAAGCTGTGTTCTATCTCATACTATAGCCTCACATTTTTAAAAACAATTTACTTAAACTCATTTCCCAGTAGAAATTGAACAAGGGGTATTTGTTCTGTGAAGTTGCATAGGAGAAACTTGACCTTGCCAGAAGAAAGGGCTGTCCCAGGAACACTTGGCAAGAGAGGGCGGTAGTTTATGTTGCTGTGGAATCACAGCAGCTACTTACTGGTTCTCTCTACATGTCTTTGTTCTCACTAAAGCAGAGAGAGGCCATGAGAAATTATATGACCCAGCAACCTAATTATACAGCATTTCATTGAAAACTTGACTGTGGTCCCAGAGTTCTAGTTGAGCATCAGCCCTGACAGTGAATTCTTGAATTCTGTATCGTCTTGGGCAAGGGCTTTATATTTAGGATAACAGATTTCTCATGGGTACAATAACAAAAACAATTCCTACCGCACAAAATAGTGAGGATTCCCAAGGATTTTGGAAATCATCTAGTCTGGTACGGACTCATTAAATCATCTACTTCTCTGGTGAAAGAGCTTAGACTGGCTTCCTAGACACCTTTATTAACCAGTGCTCATTGTGGCCATGCCCCTGAACCCTGGGCCTCACACAGAGCATTGAGGCAGCATGCTGCCCAAAGGCATTTCACATTAGTAGTTGGGAGTTGGCGCCACTTTCACTCCCACAGATACCTTCAACAATTTGTTCTTTTGCTTTCCTAGCCCACTTTTGTTGCTTCTTCCTCACTATACTCCTTTCCAAAGGAGAAGAATGTGCTAAGCGCTGGCATGGTGTAGTGTGGGAAGCAAAGACAGATGTGGGAACCTCCTAACTCTGCAGATTTCATGGCTTAGTAGGGAAGACTGAATGGTACTATCTGTGGTACCACCTGGTTAGCCTTCCACCACCAGTCCTGGAACTATCACTCCCCTTGTCTGGGGAAGTGCTCCACCCAAACACAGATTGCAGGTATGCGGTTCCAGGAGAGCTTTATATCATTACATGTCCCACCTTCCTCACTACAGCTGACTGGTTCTGAGGTCAGACAGTCGTGATCTCTGCCCCTGTGCTTTGTGTTCCTGGCTTAAGTTTAGGTACCCAAGGACCAGCCTGATTTTATTCCAGGACATCGAGGCAGAAGGAAAACATTTTTCCTTGATCCTCAAGAGTCCATGAGGGATTTTTCTTTTTTCTTTTCCTTTTGGAGACCAAGTCTCTCACTCCTGTCGCCCAGGCTGGAATGCAGTGGTGGGATCACGGCTCACTGCAGCCTCGACTTCTTGGGCTCAGGCAATTCTTCCACCTCAGTTTCCTGAGTAGCTGGGACTATAGGTGTGTGCCACCATGCCTAATTTTTTGTGGTTTTTTTTCTTTCTTTTTTTTTTTTTTTTTGTAGAGAGTGGATTTTGCCATGTTGCCCAGGCTGGACTTGAACTCCTGGGTTCCAGCAATCTGCCTGCCTTGGCCTCCCAAAGTGCTGAGATTACAGAGGTAACCTGCCACACTGGCCAATGAGGGATTTTACATTTCACTCTCCAGAAGGAAAAAAAGGAGAGTGATTGAGATATGCGTGTGTGTGTGTGTGTGTGTGTATAGTGTAGTAAGCAAAAGGAAGAAAGTGTGATGACCCAGAGCTATCTAAACCTCTCCTTTTCCTCATCTGCCTTCCCACTGACAGGGTGTGTTCTGGAATGCACTCCATTGCCATAAGTCTATAGGACCCTACAGGACTGGATAACAGCCTGTGGTTATCCAGTACCTTCTTTGACTAGCTAATTTGATTAGTCAGGAGAGGCTATCTCCTGTAACAAATGTTCCAAATCTTTTTAGCTTTTAAAGTAAATTTTTATTTTTCTGTTTTTATCAAGGTCCAGTGCAGGTTGGTGGTGACAGTGATGAGGGGACATTGTCCATATGTTATCCAAAGTTCCAGGCTCCTTCTCCAAAGTGGATATGTCATATTGTAGGGTCTGTTCCTCTTCTTCACTTGAGACATGGATTGCACAGGGTGTGTCCTATAAACTAGGCCTTATTTGGCCATACACCAGTTATTTTCATATTCCAATAGCCAGAAATCAGTACAAGACCCCATCAAATCACAAGGGTAGCTCAAAACGTATGGTTACCTGTGGATCAAGATGAAAACAAATAAGTTTTGATGAAGTCATTCTGCCACAGTGAGTTTCTCTAATTGGAAGATTTGAAAAGTACTAGCAAGTTCATTTTGCTACAGACGTAAGCTTGCTCTTCAGTGAGCTGAGTCCTGTGTCTACTAATTGGTTTCAAATTCAGCAGGGAAGACACAGGGATTAGTTATTGAGTACCTAAAACTGTGAACATAGAGGGCTTTTCGAGATAAATTTTAAAAACAGAGTCTTTACTCTGGTGTTTAAGCTTTGATCCTGAAAACATATCTGAAATCACATTCCTTATCATGTGGAGTCATCTCTCCTGCAGAAAGAATTAAGCTTCAGGGTGCAGCAGACATGGGTGAGCATTTAAAGGGAAGTTGACATCTACCTAGAAGACAGATCCACTAAAGTTTTCCAGTGCCAGAGAAATGCCATGCTTTGGGCATTTAGAATAGTTCCTACTCTGCCTGGGAGCTCTATACCTTTATCTCCAAAGGAGATGAGCACTCCCTAATTAACACACTCCACCCTCCTGTTCATGGGAGAATCCTACTGGTCACCCAGACTCACAGCTGTGCATTCGATCCATGCTTATCACTGAGGCTAACCCAGTCCTTGATTCCAATCATGAATAGACAAACGTTTTCCAGATATTTAAGGAAAGTGAGGAAGATGCACAAATAGAACTAATTCTAGAGGAGGGAAAAAAAGGATATAATACAGGAAACAGAAGAAAACGTTACCAGAACATACTCTCAGAGTTTAAGAAAGACAAGAGGTTTATAAAATGAGAACAAGCTGTCATAGAGGGGAACAATCAGGGGACAGGCAAAAGTCCTTGCACACTAGAAAAGTTACTGCAGAATTGACGTAGCGCAGAGGTCTGATAGCGCCCAGTTCCCCGGGCTGCCGATGGAACTCAGCGTGCTCCCCCACCCCCACCTGTCGGAAGTCCCGCATGGCTCCGCACCAGCCCACACCCGCCCGACCTCGTGCGCCCCTCCCCCCATAACGGTCTCCACCGCCCACTTCTGGTCCCTTCACAGAATCAGCGACCACACTACCGCCGGGCCCGGAGGACCCCGCCCTCCACCAGCCGCCGCTGTCGTCCACCATGGTGGTGCTCCGAGGACCCCACCGCTGCCGCCACTGCCCACGCCGATGCCGCTACCCGCTCCGGGCCCCTGGCAAACCCACTGCTTTTCCCCTCCTCCCAGCGCCCGCGCTGCCCGCCCTGGGCCCGCTGTCGCAGGTGCAACGGTACCACCACCCCAGCTGTGAGGCTGCCATCAACACCCACATCAGCCTGGAGCTCCACGCATCCTATGTGTACCTGTCCATGGCCTTCTACTTCGACCAGGACGACGCGGCCCTGGAGCACTTTGACTGCTACTTCCTGTGCCAGTTGCAGGAGAAAAGGGAGCACGCCCAGGAGCTGATGAGGCTGCACAACCTGCGCGGTGGCCGCATCTGCCTTCATGACGTCGGGAAGCCAGAGGGCCAAGGCTGGGAGAGCGGGCTCAAGGCCATGGAGTGCGCCTTCCACCTGGAGAAGAACATCAACCAGAGCCTCCTGGAGCTGCACCAGCTGGCCAAGGAGAACGGCGACCCCCAGCTTTGCGACTTCCTGGAGAACCACTTCCTGAACCAGCAGGCCAAGACCATCAAAGAGCTGGGTGGCTACCTGAGCAACCTGCGCAAGATGGGGTCCCCGGAAGCAGGCCTGGCAGAGTACCTCTTTAACAAGCTCACCCTGGGCCGCAGCCAGAAACACACCTGAGCCCAGACAGGCCCCTCAGCCATGGGGTGCCTTCCCCTGCTCGCGCCACCAGGCGGGACGTCCATGTTGCCTTTTCAGAACATTCTCTTCATTTTTCTCCTCTCAGTTTGACCATTGTTAACAATAAAGTTATCTGTTCTCAAAGCAATAAAGGTGTCCAGCCGATGTGTGTCTGCAGCACTCTCACCTTTTAGGAATCAGGGCACATCCCCATGCAGATTTAAAGTAGGTATTCAGCAGTCTTTCCATTCAGCTCTGCCCCATCTGCATGCAGCTCAGGATCTGCGGGGGTGGAGGGGAAAGGTATTTTATGGGCCCCTGGAAAATACATTAGTCTTCCCCTTATAAACTCTGAGGGCGTGTGGGATGGGGTGGGGTGAGGTGGGGTACGGTGGGGTGAGATGTGTGGGGTGGGTGGGTTCGGGTGGGGTGTGCTGTGTTGGGCCATGGTATCTGTGGGTCCGTATGCATGGTACGGTGTAAAACATGGTATGGAATTCATCCTAGCGTTTGCCTCTGGAGAAGAAGGGAAGGAAGGGAATGAGATTGGGCAGGGATAAAAATAATACAGTCTTTAACTTGACATGAAAAGTTATCTTTTTAAAACATGCAAGTGCTAAGTATTCTTGCTTCTGGGCAGCAAGCTGGGGGCTCTGGGGGACAGTATGGCAGAGTACCTCTTTGGCAAGCTCACCCTGAGTGACACGGATAATAGGCTGAGCCTTAGGCTGCCTTCCCCACAGATACGGGGTGACTTCCTGCATATTGCCCTTCAATTGTACCATTTCTTCCATTAAAGCTGGTTAAAAAAACAGCTCAAAAGAAGGACTGAAAAACATAAGGTCAAAGCTGAAGGTCAAATTTGTGATATTGAATATAAAGTAGAATAAATATAAAGTAGAATAAATGCCCCCAAATGTCAAGGCAGTGACTTGACTTGACCAGCCAACCTAAGAGCCACCCTCAAACACAGCTGATCACCTTCTCCTTTGTCTTACCTCCATTTATACTACATTTCTTGTTAATGGCACTTGCCACTCTGTATGGCAATTGTTTCTTCATATGCCTGGATCTTTTAATAGGCTGTAGAACACTGGAGTGCAGGAAATGCAGGAATTTTTTCTCTCATTAAGCCCTAGTATATATATAAACAGGAAATTAAAAATGATAAGTTGAACTTAATTGAAAATAAAAGTCAGATCACAGTGGATTAAAGAATGAGTAGAAGTGAGGTAGTGGAACTAGTTATTATAGTGCAAGGTTATTCTTTCCAATGTCTAAATGTTCCTTGGAATATTATTATTGGCCTACCTGTTTTATCCACCAACTAGATTGTGGATAACTGAACAAAAATATATTTTTAGTAATTAGTCTTTACTCAGAAGGATTTTTTACAAGACATAAAGTTCATGCAATCTGGTTAATTTCCCAAATGGGTCACATATATTCTTTCTTTCTTTGTTAGCTTTGTTATTACTTACTCAGGAAGGGGTCGCTTTTGAAATTTGTGACTTAGCAATTTCTTCCACTTCAATGTCAAAAATAACACTGCATGGCCAAGGCTAGGGATTTCATACATTTCTTTAGCATTTTTGAAGCCTACATTCCTTATCACTCTAGAGACATTATGTAAAATTATTTCATATTTGACAAATGATTCCAGTTTGATTATCATTTTGTCTCATCTATAGAAGTCTGTGTGTGGTGGATGTTGGACAGTCTAATAATTTACTGAACATTTGCTGTATACAAAATACTATGCTATCAATTGTTGGGGGCTAGGATGTTGACAATATAAATAGTCTCTATGCTGAAGAAGCTTGAGCTAGCTAGAATTGTGGCATAGCTTAGAATAATCTACAGAGGACCTCATCGATCAATTTCAAATTAATTAATAATTGATGCTAAGCCTGTAAGGACCAAGAGGGTACAGCATGAGGGGATGATTAGCAAGAACTAGGTCAATAAAAAAAAGAAGTTTTCTGGAGAGAAGTTTGCTTAAAGTGTGTTGATGAACCTCAATTTAAAAGACACTTTCTTAATATTCCCGTCTAGCCAATGCCCTCCTTCTGTTCTCTACCCTAGAATTCCCAAGACATGGACAAGAATTCCTAGAATTCTGACCATGCCATAATCAAACACTGGAAGGAATTGAGTAGGTGGTGACCAGTCTATATTTTAAGTTGAGAGTCTCACTGGGCTGCCACTTGGTGAGATGCCATTGGTCCAAGTTCTGACCCTCATATTTATAAATCTACAGGTTTGACTTTCTCAGTGAACCCAAAGGTGAACAGCTTCTCCGTGAGTGATCAGCAGACTTTTTCTATAAAGTATAATATTTTACAATCTACAGGCCATATTGTCTTTGTCACAACTATTTAACTCTGGTGCTGTGGTGTGAAAGTAGCCACAGACTATATGTAGATGTGGCTGTGTTCCAATAAAACTTTATTTACAAAATTTAAAGGCCGGCCAGATTTAGCCTACAGGCTATAGTTTGCCATTCCCTGTTCTAGAAGACTGACTCACACCAACAATATTTCCAAGTCATTAATCAGCCACCAATAGGACTCATATAAGCGGGACACATTATTACTGCATCTTTCATCAGAAATTGGCCACTAGAGAAGCTCAACTTCAAATCAGAAGTTTGTTTAGTAAGCAACAGGTGAGGCAAATGAAATGTTTTGGTTTGTGTTCTTACAGAAGTGACCCTGATATGGTTTGGGTATTTGTCCCCTCCAAATCTCATGTTGAAATGTGATATGCAATGTTAGAGGTGGGGCCTGGTGGAAGTGTTTGGGTCATGGAGGTGGATCCCTCATGAATGGCTTGGGGTCCTCCCCATGGTAATGAGTGAGTTCTTGCTCTATTAGTTCATGGGAGAGGTGGTTGTTTAAAGGAGCCTCTTACCTTCTCCTCTCTCTCTTGTTCCTTTTCTCACCATGTGACATGCCTCCTCCCCCTTTGCAATCTGCCAAAAAGTAGAAGCTTCCGGAGGCCTCAACTGAAACCATGAATATGCTGGCCCCATGTTTGTACACTCTGCAGAGTGATGAGCCAAGTAAACCTCTTTGCTTTATAAATTACCCAGTCTCGGGTAGTCCTGTATGGTAATGCAAAATGAAGACTCTGAGGCAATGGTTTAAATGTAAGTAATTTATTTGGCAGATAATCCCAGCAACTATCATTAAGGAAATAGAGAAATAAAAACAAGGAATGGAAAGAAGCCAATAAAATTTGCATTATTAAGCAAGATCACCAAAGTCAAGGAGAACATAATCTCCCTGGGAGAACGTGCCTCTGATTTATACCAGTCATGGCACAAGGGAGCTGGGATATTTATCCAGTAACTCGATCCATAATTGGTTGGGGGTTGCTTGTGGGGAGGATCAGAAAGATCTCCAGTGTCCAAAGAAAGGCTTCAGGCTGAGGGTTGTAGGTGCTGGCAGCTGGAAGTTGGACAGCATGTATGAACATGGTAAATGCCAAGGGGCTATGGAGGGAGGGCACCAACAGCATCTGTTAGACTTGTTTTCTCCCAAATGATATTCATAAGGTAGCACAGCTTACTGAGTAAATTTTCTATTACAGGATTTTTTTTCTGAATAAATAGAACTGCTCCTGTAAATCCAACCAACCTTCCTCTCCATGATATTGGATAGGCATTAACACATATTTTTAACAGTTAATCCATTTTGTGAAATAGTTTCCCTTAACCATAGTTGGTATAATCCCAAGATAGAACATATTAGAATTGTCATGAATATAGCTTTTTCAAATTGTTTTATATTTTGTTTACTAATATCTTTTTTAATATTTGGGAATCATGGGGCTTGGGACTGAAAGTGGACCAAACCTCACCCCACTCTTATTTGGCCTTGGCGATTCAGTGTACTATCTGTGCTCTCTTGCCATATTTATTGCTAGAGGCAGCCAAAGGCTGGCCTGTGGGAGTAACTATGGAAAACAAGAGTGTGTACACACTCTCTGAGGACACACCCTAGTTTTGGAACACAACCCCATAAATGAGGAACTCCACAATGCTGGCATGTCCAGGGCAAAGTTCTTAGGCTGTTCCATTAACTTTGTGCCAACCAACAGCAGTCTAAGCCTAACAGTTGAGCTCATGGGCTTTGGCACCATGCAGACCCAAGGTAGATTACTATCTCAGCCACTTGGCTTTGCTGCATGGCATATTCATTCAGACATAAATGTCAATACCTTCCTGGGCATCCTGTGAAAAATCCACTTTCACAAAAGCATTTCAGGACAATGTAGACTTTCTTAACATTTCACAGTAGAGGCCAAGAAAGAGTTCACATCATTTTCCTCAAAGCAATCAACTTAAAAATTTCAATTGACATTTATATTCTCCCAAGTCCCTTCTTGGCCTTCCTGATACAACGATTTTCTCTCTGTCCTTCATACAATGCTCACCGTTATAGGCTCCATTCTCTTCATCCTTCCCCTCACTTCTTTTCTCTTCCATTGTGATATGCAGTTGAGCCCCACTTAGCTCTCCAGCTCATCAACATAAAGGGTTCTCCAGTTAATAGGACCCACCTGCCTTAGAAGAGAAGTGGGATTATGTGTTATTTGTGGCAAGGGGTAAGGGACGCGAATTATTTCATATGCCTCATGTATCCATAAAGGACTTCTACTTAATATGTATTTTTGTGTGTATGTATGTTTCCACTTCATTCCCTGAGAACTAAACACATGTTGGTAACACTGCCAGCCTCTCTCTGCTCCTTTGTCTATTCCTTTCCAGTAGTGAAGAAGCACAACTTTTCTGATCAGAAACAGTAAGAAAAGGAACAAAGTAGATGTGTATGGCAGCCATTCAGGTGTGGCACTTGCAGAACCTCTCAGGAAAGAATTTGCCACTCAGTTGCAAGGAGTGCAGCTAGTTGACAGCCTCCAACTTTTGAAGGCCACATTCTTCTCGGGAAGCCTAGCCAATGAGGAAACACAGAAGAAATGCTAAGGCCTGACCGTTTCTGCCAATATGGGACTCAATTAACAGGAATTATTTGCTTTGGAGCTGCCCTAGGTGTTGACTGAGACTTTGTCAAATCTGCATTGAGATCCCAGGCTTGCCCTGCCCAAACTTACTTTCTCCCCTTCGCTCAATCTTGCTTTCTCACCTCTTTCCTTTCATAGGTGTCATAGCCACAGCATGGTCTAAGACTTTCCCTGCCCAGTTTTGCTTCCTCCCCCTTTCATCTTTCATAAGATTTACCTCCACATATACTGTTTGCACTACTAACTCTGTCTCAGAGTCTGCTTCCAAAAAGACCCAAATAATACAGTGTGGCTCTACAGCTCTACTTCTCTTTTTCTGTCTCTCTGTCTCTCTCTTATAATTTGTACAGAAGATTCAAACACTCTTACAATCTCCATGTGCTGCATGTCTTAGGGAATGTTTTTCTGCTATGAGTGGGAGGCTGGATTCTTGGGTATATTGTTAGGGGCATGGTTTTGGGGGGCCCATTATGACTACATATCTAGTCTCATTCTGCAATTCAATCTTAATTCGACAAAGGTGATTTTTTATCTCTGTTTTATTCCTGTGTTTTATGTCTCAATTAGTTTTTGACTCTGGAGGGAAATAAAAAGGGCTGCTTTATTTATCCTTTCCACCCCAGCATGAATAGGGGTTGAATATTTTTAAATTCTTTTATGTAATTTAGAAGACTTGAATGATTTTCCAAAAGCCACATGGGGTATTTGTTCTGCTCTATTCTTATGAAGTCATTTAAAAAATTCATCCAAAGCATGATCTTAAAAAGTAATGAAAACTGAGCAGAGTGACAGACAGAATTCTATTAATAAAGACACTATTGCAATAATTACTTCTGCTGATGGACTTATTGCTTCCTTGAAGATGTAAGGATAGAATGTATGGACCGTGAGCATGAGGCTTTC
This sequence comes from Homo sapiens, assembly GCF_000001405.40. Taxonomy (NCBI): domain Eukaryota; kingdom Metazoa; phylum Chordata; class Mammalia; order Primates; family Hominidae; genus Homo; species Homo sapiens. The sequence continues at coordinate 37,037,091 of NC_000023.11, read as the reverse complement.
CTAGAATTTTAGTGTGTGTATGTATGCTCAGTGTGTGTGTGTTGCGGGGGGGTTGGTTGGTCCTACACAGGTTGTTCGGAAACACCTAGCAGACCGGTTTTACTAGCAGACCGGTTTTACCGTACCAGTCCTTTCACAATTCCTGTCTTTGGGAATCACTGTGCATACAGTTTTTGCTGAAGTGTTGGCCTAGGGCACTCCAACCTTCCCTACCAGCTGCCTGGCCCAGCTTGCCTCAGGTGCCTTCCCCATAGTGTCACTCATTGTTGTTGCCCCATCTGTAACCTCTCAGCTTATCCAGGAGATCATGTGCAACTTCCGTGGACAGTTACTTGTTCCTATACTACCAGAGGCTTCTTACCTTAAGTACCTGTATTTCTGTGACTTAGGACATTCTCTGGCTATAAGAGTATGCTACACTCACTTGTGGGGCAAGCCAGGAAGGGCCAGGCAATTTAATGACCTAGAAGTGACTTTCACAAATGAAGAACAGAATTTGGTGGGTACCTCTCCAATTTCCTTCCTTCTCTTGGAGGGATAATTCTAGGGCATGATGTCTCATGATTAGCAGCATGAGAGATAGCAAAGCCTCTCAGCAGGTCCCTAGTGGATTGAGCTCCCTCGTAATAACTCACTCATGAATGTGCCTTTTATTGAATGTCTTCCCCTTTCTCTTTTTTCCCCTCTATGCTTCCTGGTATTACTCCTTGCCATGCACTGAATGTTTGTATCCCCTCAAAATTTATATGTTGAAACACTAATCTTCAGTATGATGGTATTTGGAGATGAGGCCTTTGGAAGGTAATCAGGTCACTAGGGCGGAGCCCTCATTATGTGATTAATGCACTGAGAAGACACGAGAGAGGTTGTTTTCCTCTTTCTCTGCTCTCCACCATATGAGGATACTGTGAAAAGACTACCATTTTCAAACCAGAAAGAGAGCTCTCACCAGCACCCAACCATGCTGGCATCCTGATTTCAGACTGCTGGCTTTCAAAATAGTGAAAAAAATATTATTTTTCTTTCAGCTACCCAGTCTATGGTAATCTGTTTTAGCAGCCCAAACTAAGACACCCCCCAAATAAACTGCTTGTATCCAAACCCTTCTCCCAGGATCATCTTTTGGGAGAACTCAAGCTAAGGTACTACCCCCGCTCTTACCAGAGTTTTTGGGGAAATTAAAAGTTAGAGTGAGGGTGAGAAAACAGAAAGGAGCAGACATGTGGAATTTAGTGGAGTTGCAGAAACTATGGAGATTTGGGGTGAAGAACAAGGAACTCCTATGGTGACTTTCTCCAAAAAGGCTTTGAGAAAACAACCCCTCTCTATTACCAACTCCCAAGGCACAGTCTCATATCCATGAGCAACCCCACTTCTAGTTTATGTGTGATTCAGTTTCTTCCAAGCTAAACCTGCTTGACTTGACCAGAAGGCCAAATAAATTCAAGCTTGCTCCAAACATGTCTCTTTAGATCAGGTTATTCTCATTTGTAATGAAGAAACTGAGGCAGCTAGCAGGTTGATCATTTGTAACACTCTTTTTTAACTATAACATTCTAAAATGTGGGAGAAGCTCTAGTCCCAATAGCAATCCATGATTAAATAACTGTGAAGTTTGGAAGTTGGGCCTGTAAACATTTCTACAGAGAGCTACTTCATTCATTTTGTTTTATTTGATTCATGTTAGTTTCTAATCAGCCCCCAAAGAGGGTGGAGTATCCTCTTTGAAGGCCCATAGTTTTATATGACTTCACCTTTCTCACACAACCCAGTGATTTGTAATCAAGAATGAATATTTCTGCCAAGTAAAAAATGTTTAACATTATCCCAGCTTAGTAAGGGGAAAGGCAGGGGATAAGGGTGGGTAGCAGGTAGAACCTTCATTAGAGTGAGATGGCTCCCTGAGGAAAACAACTGCAACTGTGTTTTTCGAGTTCTATTCTCGATTTTTTTTTTCTTTTTTAAGAAAGAGCCTGGCTCTGTGACTCAGGCTGGAGTGTAGTGGGGCAATCTCAACTCACTACAATCTTCACCCGACTGGGCTCAAGTGAGCCTCCCACCTCAGCCTCCTGAATAGTTGGGACCACAGGCATGCACCACCACATCTGGCTAATTTTTTGTAATTTTAGTAGAGACAGGGTCTCGCCATGTTGCCCCGGCTGGCCTCAAACTCCTGAGCTCAAGCTGTCTACCTGCCTCAGCCTCCCAAAGTGCTGGGATTATAAGCATGAGCCCCTGTGCCCAGCTCAAGCTCTGTTCTATTCAGCCAATTACCTCAGCACAGGACAGGGGAAGGAAATGGGGCAGGGGAAGGGGTCCCTGTTACTATGGTTAGTGCCTTGGGAAATATATTCCTTGGGCTATTATTGTGGCCTATTACATAAGTAAGCTCAATTAAAGCCAGGTTTATCAGTCAAACATCTCTGCAACCGATCAATAAAGGACTCAGGATATACAGACCATAGTGTCATCCAACTCATGTGTTTTTAGATTTTGGGATGATACTTTCTGAATTCCTGTAGAGGAAGGAATACCTACATAGCATTGGCTCCTAAGAAAGTGACTCAGCAGGCCCCATCAAAGATTGTCATTGAATCAGGCCGTAGGGTTTGGCAGAAGAAGGAGGCCTGGAGAATAGTACAAGCTGAGGGCTGAATCACACTGGCTGGCACTGCAAAGAACCCCATCTAACTCTAGTTAATGCCAGCATTCCATCTAGTTTAGCTCACAAATGGATTTTAGGTACTTCCTGCCATGTAGACTTTCTTGCTTCTCATGCTGTGCTGAAAATAACCTGCTAAGAAACCTGGAAGACCCCCCTCCCCTTGCTTAACCAAATGTCAAAGATTTATTACCAATAATGGACAAACTAACATCATGTGCCTCTTGTTGTGATGCTTTAACAGGACACACAGCCATTTAAGTAGTATTTCTGCCAGAAGAGTACCTAAACCAACTGTAATCATGAGGAAACATCAGACAAACTCAAACTGAGAGATATTTTACAAAACAGCAGGCCTGTGTTTTTCAAGAATGTCCATGTCATGAAACACAAAGAAAGACTGAGAACTAGTCCATATTAAAGGAGGCCAGAGAGACGTGACAACTAAGTGCAACACATTAACATGGATTAGATTTAGGAGGAAAAAGAACAGAATGACCAGAAAAACATTGTTGCAACAACTGTGAAAACTGAATATGGACTGTATATTATATAATAAAGAGCATGGTATCAATGTTAAATTTCTGGAATTGGATACATGTACTATGGTTTTGTAAGAGAATTTTTTTCTTTTGTTTGCTTTTCTTTTAATATTTTTAGAGACAGGGTCTTGCTCTGTCACCCAGGCTGCCTTACATTGGCTTGGTCATAGGCCACTGTAACCTTCAACTCCTAAGCTGAAGAGATCCTCTTGCCTTGGCCTCCCAAAGTGCTGGGATTACAAGTGTGAGCCATGGTGCCTGTCCCAGAATTCTTGTTCTTGGGAAATATATGAAGTTAGCTGCATCTGTCTGTCTCTTCATTCAGGTATTTCAGTGTGTGTTTGTGTGTCTGTGACATACAATTGTAAAATGTTAAAAATTGATCTATCTAAACGTAGAAAGTTATGTGTATTATACTTTATAATAACACTTTGACAGAAATGAGGACATCATAAAACTGTACGCAGTTGGTGTAAGTGGTGAAACTATCAATCCAAATACATGGAATATTGTCTAAAGTTTATAAGAACCAAATTTATAAATAATATATGTTAAGATTATGGCTCAACTTAATAGAAGACCTATATTTATATTTATATACACTTAAATATTATTATAATTAATAAAAACTTATCCAATCTACAAATGAAGTGTAAGAAATTTAGGTATTTATCTTAACTGTTTTCAAAATAATTAATAAATTAAATGTCTTAGGCAAACTACAGAAAGTCATGTGTATTGTATATGCAACTATTTTGCAAGTTTTAAATTATTTCTAAACAAAAAATTTAAAAATACCAAATCATTAATTATTATTATTTTATGAAAAGTAAATTACATTGAGAAAATTTTTCTGCAAGATCCTACTCCCATAGTAAAGTAGAAAGGGAATGGGCCTGGGGCACCTGAGAACTGGTTACTCCTAGCTCCACCATTAAATAACTGAGCATTGTGGGAGAAAGTCACTAAATTACCCGAGACTCAATTTTCTGTAAAATCGACTCCTCACATTTGCAGGACTTCTCTTCCCACATCTTCACTCTAAGAACACCAAATCATAAACTCCTTTTCAAGTGTATTTATTCTTTATTGATTAATTTAAATGTAGCACCCTTCTTCCTGAGAGCAAAGCCACAAACCACCAATGCTGACCAACTTCAAAATAAATGTCTGCAAATGCAATTAAGTGCATTTTAGAATAGACTTGTGCTAACAGGAAGTATAATTAACTCAGAGGCATTCTTATAGAGTAATCCCAGGTTTGTTATATAGGTTCATTTCATCCATAAAGTCAGGAGAATACAACTGAGTTGTACAGAACATCAGCATATCTGACACATTTTAATAAGGGAGATACAGATTATATCCCAAATAAAGAAATGGCAAAAAATGGTAATGAATAGTTTCATTAACAAATTATGACATGATCTGCTGGCAATATTAGTCTGACTCCTACTGATGCAATAAGGCTCACAGCTAGCTGCAAAAGTAATGAATCTGAGCAGAAATTGACTGTGAATTGTGCTTGGCTTAAACTCGGACTAACCATCCTGCTGACCTAAGAGAAATCCATGCAGTAAATTGTTTCGAGAGACACAGGATACAGAAAATTCTGCTTCAAAAGGGTAAAGCATCATTTTCATTTTGAGACCTACTTTCAGGCACTAAATTAAATTTTAGATGACCTCAGCTTTTATCCTGTCTCTAAAAGATCCAACTCAGAAATTTATCGTGCTTCCAGTTTCCAGAACCTAGTATTGGTAATTTTTCTCAGATGAATTCCAAGGCTCGTTCAGCTTGGTTAGGTAACTATAGTTATTATCATGAAAAATGCTAGGTCAGATCAGTTCAATTTTTTTCTTTTTTCTTTTGCAAAAAAGAGTAATATGTGAATGTTTTAGCCAGGTCATTTTGTATTCAGCAACTATCTCTGGCTTTTATTACTTGGCCATGCCATTGGTAGAGGTCAACTGCAAAGCAATGAGCAGGCAGGCTAGAGTAACTTATGTCAAGTGTGTGACAGCTGCATAGTGTTACAGCATTGGCTTTTTCCTCAACACGGATATACTGAGCTACTGCCCCACCTCCAACTCTGTCATCTTGGAAAAGTGAGTTTATTTATTTATCCCTAATTTCTTTCTTTCTTTCTTTCTTTCTTCTTTTTTCTTTCTTTCTTCTTTCTTTCTTTCTTTCCTTCTTTCTTTTTCTTTCTTTGACGGAATCTCACCCTATCACCCAGGCTGGAGTGCAGTGGTGCCATCTCAGCTCACTGCAACCTCTACCTCCCAGGTTCAACCGATCTTCTCCCCTCAGCCTCCCAAGTAGCTGGGTTTACAGGCACATGCCACCAAACCCAGCTAATTATTTTGTATTTTTAGTAGGGATGGGATTTCACCATGTTGGCCAGGCAGGTCTCAAACTCTTGAACTCAAGTGATTTGCCTGCCTTGGCCTCTCAAAGTGCTGGGATTACAGGCGTGAGCCACCGTGCAAAGCCTATCCCTAATATGTTCTATCTATACAATGGGAATATGATTTTATTTCTTGAAAATCAGTGACTGAACAAAGAGAACAAAAGAACAAAGAGAAGACAGAAGAAAGAGTTTCTACTCCAAAAGGAATTGTGCATCTGGAAATGTATTATCTTCTCTTTGCTTTTTCCCAAAGCTCCTCTGAAATAAGAGGAAAGTGGATGTTTTAAAGACAGAAACCTAAAAGGATAAGTACAATGGGAGATAAGACAACAGAAACACAATTTAGAAACTGCAAAGCAGTAAATGACTCAGAAAACTTAAGAAATCTAATTTCTAAACTGGCAGGGAGGAAAGCTGAGAACCAATCTGATCCACCCAGCAGCACCCTGAAAAGCTTAGGACTGGTAGTAATAGTGAGCCCTGAAAATTGGGGTGAGGACAGGGTTAAAAGCAGAAGGATTGGGTGAACTTCTGTGTACAAAGCATTTGGAATCCAGTCCACCTCCCTCACTGTGTGTGTAGCAGGATGAGCCGCAGACAAAACTCCTCAGACACTGGGTTAAAGAAGGAAGGAGCTTTATTTGGCCAGGAGCTTCAGCAGACTTGGCATCTCAAAAGCTGAGCTCCCTGAGTGAGCAATTCCTATCCCTTTTAAGGGCTTACAACTCTAAGGGGGTCCACGTGAGAGGGTCGTGATCAATTGAGCAAGCAGAGGGTACGTGACTGGGGGCTGCATGCATCAGTATTTAGAATGGAACAGAACAGGACAGGGTTTTTCACAATGCTTTTCCATACAATGTCTGGAATCTATAGATAACACAAGCAGTTAGGTCAGGGCTTGATTTTTAACTACCAGGGTGGGCATCTGGCTATCTGCCTGTGGATTTCATTTCTGCCTTTTAGTTTTTACTTCTTTCTTTGGAGGCAGAAATTGGGCATAAGACAATATGAAGGGTGATCTCCTCCCTTATGGGCAGCATTTGACTGTCCTGCCTAGACTCAAACAGCAACTGGGGATCAGTCTATGGAGAGGATAAGACAAGGAACTTCAGGACCAGAGAACACCAGGCATAGTTGAGGTTAGAAGTACTGTGTGAAAACTAGGGGATTAAGTGAACATTTATAGACAAAATTTGAGATGCCGCATCTCCCAGATTTCTTCTTCCACTTAGCTCCTGTAGCAATGGCACTCAGACTTGTGACCTCCAGGCAGGTTATTGGATAGTCCTTCTCTGTGGATGTTTAAATTAAAGGTTCCCCAAGGGAATAGGCCAGTCATGTCACCACATTACCATGTCACCCACATTCGACAAAACCCAACTACTCCCATAGAGCTTCCAATCAGCTTTTGAATACATCATATTTAAGGATGAACAGACAAACCAAAGAGAGAAATTTTCCGAGGAAATCCTCCAGACTGGAAGATGGAGGTCAAACAAAACAAAACAAACAAACAAACAAACAAACAAACAGAAATAGCAGTGTGGGAGGACAAACGGAATTTGTAAGGATAAGATAATTTTAAAGAATAAAATTTCACTCTGATGCTAGTTTCTTTTGCTGTGGAGAAGCTGTTTAGTTTAATTAGATCCCATTTGTCAATTTTGGCTTTTATTGCAATTGCTTTTGGTGTTTTCATTATGAAGTATTTGCCCGTGCTTGTGTCCTGAATGGTATTGCCTAAGTTTTCTTCTAGGGTTTTTATGGTTTTGGGTTTTATGTTTAAGTCTTTAATCCAACTTCAGTTAATTTTTGTATAAAGTGTAAGGAAGGGTCCAGTTTCTTTTTTCTGCATATGTCTAGCCAATTTTCCCAGCAACATTTGTTAAATAGGGAATCCTTTCCCCATTGCTTGTTTTTGTCAAGTTTGTTGAAGATCAGATGGTTGCAGATGTGTGGTGTTATTTCTGAGGCCTCTGTTCTGTTCCATTGGTCTACATATCTGTTTTGGTACCAGTACCATGCTGTTTTGATTACTGTAGCCTTATAGTATAGTTTGAAATCAAGGAGTGTGATCCCCTCAGCTTTGTACTTTTTGCTTAGGATTGTCTTGGCTATACGGGCTCCTTTTTTGTTCCATATGAAATTTAAAGTAGTTTTTTCTAATTCTGTGAAGAAAGTCAATAGTAGCTTGATGGGAATAACATTGAATTTATAAATTACTTTGGGAAGTATGGCCATTTTCACGATATTGATTCTACCTATCCATGAGCATGGAATGTTTTTCCATCAGAGTGAACAGGCAACCTACAGAATGGGAGAACATTTTTGCAATCTACCTATCTGACAAAGGTCTAATATCCAGAATCTACAAGGAACTTAAACAAATTTACAAGAAAAAACAACCACATCAAAAAGTGGGCAAGGATGTGAACAGACACTTCTCAAAAGAAGACATTTATATGGCCAACTAACATGGAAAAAAGATCATCACTGATCATCAGAGAAATGCAAATCAAAACCACAATGAGATACCATCTCATGCCAGTCAGAATGGTAATTATTAAAAAGTCAGGAAACCATAGATTCTGGTGAGGCTGTGGAGCAATAGGAATGTTTTTACACTGTTGGTGGGAGTGCAAACTAGTTCAACCATTGTGGAAGACAGTGTGGCAATTCCTCAAGGATCTAGAACCAGAACTGCCATTTGACCCAACAATCCCATTACTGGGTATATACTCAAAGGATAATAAATTATTCTACTATAAAGACACATGCACACATATGTTTATTGCAGCACTATTTACAATAGCAAAGACGTGGAACCAACCCAAATGCCCATCAATGATAGACTGGATAAAGAAAATGTGGCACGTGTGCACCATGGAGAACTATGAAGCCATAAAAATGATTGAGCTTATGTCCTTTGCAGGGACATAGATGAAGCTGGAAGCCATCATTCTCAGCAAACTAACACAGGGACAGAAAACCAAACACCGCATATTCTCATTCATAAGTGGGAGTTGAACAATGAGAACACATGGACACAGGGAGGGGAAAAACACACACTGGGGCCTGTTGGGGGGTGGGGGGCAAGGGGATGGGGAGCATTAGGACAAATACCTAATGCATGCGGGGCTTAAAACATAGAAGATGGGATGATAGGTGCAGCAAACCACCATGGCATGTGTATACCTATGCAACAAAACTGCGCATTCTGCACATGTATCCCAGAACTTAAAGTAAAATTTAAAAAAAATTTCATTAATATCCTCAGAGAGAAAAGAATATTGCATCTACTAAATAGGAAAAGGGTGCTAGTGAAAGGAACATTCAGAGAACAAAAACAATTCTTTTGAAAATTAAAACAATGAAAATATTAAAAGTTTAAAATACAATGTTGAGAAAAATTTCCACAAAGTAGAGCAATAAGACAAATAGATAATAGGGTAAGGATAAAAAAAATTTAAAGAACCAATCCAGATGGTTCAACATGCAATTATTAAGAATTACAGAAAAATAAGACAAAGAAAATTGAGAGAAAGAGATTGTTAAAGAACTAGTAATAAAAAGTCCCTTAACAGAAGGACATGACCTTTCACATTAAAGGGCCTATCAGATGCTCAGCAAAATTGACAAAAATAGACCCATACAAAGGCATATGATCACTAAATTTTGGAGCCCACAGGGACAAAGAGATAATCCTTCCTTTATCCAGAGAGAGGAATAAACTGTTGATATTCAAAAGGCCAGGGATTCTAATGTCTTCAGTCCTTTTAATGGCAGCCCAGTAGCTAGAAGGCAATGGAGCAATGCCTTCAAAAATTTTAAGGTGAAAATGATTCTCAAGCTAGAATTCTATTCAATTTTCAACTAAGTGTGAGAGTCAAATGAAAATATTTTTGTATAAGTGAAGTCAAAAATTTATTTCCTATGTGTTTGTTCTTAGCAATGTACTAGAGGATGAGCTTCATCAAAATAAGGAAATAATCCAGGAAAAGGGAGATAAGGAAGACAGGAAACAGTGGATGCAACGAAAGAGGCCACAGAAATTCACAGGCTAAGGGATGGGGGAGATCACACAATGGCAGCTATACACCAGCAGACTGGGTTGGAGGTAGCCTGAAGACTTCAGAGAGCTTATTCAAGATGTTGAAATGGAGAGAACACTTGATCCATTAAATGGGTTAGGAAGAGATTTAGACAACTAATAGAGGTGGAGATTGAGTTTGTACTAAGAATGTGGGAAACTGAGCAAGCAAAAAAACATGGCAATTATTAACTATACGTAAAATAAAATGTTGTGCAAAAATGGAAAAAGTAACCATACTGTTATTTGGGGCTCATCTGTGAATAGTATTTACATAGTCAGTGAAAACACTTAAGATTGAACTAATCATGATTATCCTGTAAGTATATGAAGGTGATAGGTGATGGGTGCGTGTGTGTGGTGGAGGTTTGGAAGGGTGAAATGATCTAAATCCTCATCTTCAGTAAGTGGAAGTCAGCAGAAAATGCTGAAAACTGAAAATAAAGAAAGTAATAATCAGGTTATTTAAAGATACCAAACTAATTAGCTAAAAGAATACAAAATTATTGCCTTTGGAATGTGGTAAATGGGGAAGTTATTTGACTCCTTATACTCTGCAAATATAGCTTTGCTGCAAAATAAAAACAATTACAGGAAAGAAAGAGGACATCAGTAAGAATAGCAACAATAATTAAAACACATCAAATATTTTTAAATCTATACCAGGAAAACAACATATTTTTTTGAGAGCTTGTAATAAGGGGAAAGAACCCAGCATTTATTCTGCCTTTCCTATATGGCCTGTATTCCAAGGTAACCAAATAGTTGATGAGAAGAATTCTGTTTTTAGAAGCATTTCAGCAATAAATGAAGAAGGTAAGATAGAATTAGAATATTTCCAACTCGTGACTCCTAATGATATAGTGAATCCAAGCAGTGATCTTCAGGGTCTGCTATTCTCACAAAAAGCAAAAAAGAAAAAGAAAAATAGAATAACCCTGACATTATGAACTTTATGATGGAAGTATATAATCCACCTATAAAGTACGTTGCAGTTAGGTAGGGAAAGGATAAACAATTTAATAAATGATTCAGGCAATTGCTTAGCAACATAGAAAAATACTGAATGCATACTTCACACCACATACCAAAAACAATTTTAGTATATTTTAAGATCCAAATGTGAAAAAGCAAAACTGTAAAAGTTTTAGAAGGAAACTAAAAGAGAATGATTTTCTGATTCTCTTTATGATTCAAAGTAGGGAAGGAATTCTTAAAAGTACAAACAGTAATGGAAAAGATTGATAAATTTAACTACCTTAAAATTCAAAATGTCCATTTATCAAAGAACACCACAAAAATAAGACAAGACAAGACACAGACTGTGAGAGATTTTTATAACATACAACTGACAGGATTAGTTATCAGACTATATTAAAAGCTACTATAAGTTAACAGAAGAAAGACTAACAACCCAATCAAAAATGGGTAAAAGATATCAATTCATAGACTAGGAAAAATAATTGACTAATACACAGAGTAGTAATGCAATAAAATAGGAGAAGAACATTAAAGCAACTACAAGATACTATTTTACATCCATCAAATTGACAAAATATAAAATATTTGATAATACCATGGCTTGGTGAGGATATTAAGGAATTCAACCTCTCTATTATTCTTGGTAGAGATTGTAAATTGCTTCAATGCTTTTGGCTTAAAATTTGGCAATACCTAGTAAAATGTATGATGGGCCAATCTTATGACCCAGCATTTCCCATCCTACGTATAATCCCTAAAGAAACTCATATATAGAAATGAGTAGATTCTTACAACATTATTTTTGTAGGAAAAAGACAAAAACACCTTTAATATTCATCTGCAAAATGGATAAGTATGTTGTGGTATAGTATGGTTATATGATGAAATACTATACAGCAATGAAAATGAATGGAGTGGAGCTATCTGTGTCAATAGAGATAGATCTCAAAAAAGTCGACATTGATCAAAAAGCAAGTTATAAAGGGTACACACAGTATGATACTGTTTATAAATAGTTTATCAACGTGCAAAATAAATATGTATGTATAAATTTTACGTGTATACATAAAGTATAAAGACATAAATGGAAATAATAAACACAAAATTTAGGATTATAACAACCTCTAGAATGGGAAGATACATAAGATCTAATAAGAATACAGTCTTAAAATTATCCAACTAAAAATAGTAAAGGAATAATTATAAAACCATTTTCAAAGTCTCATCATTGATTATATACATGAAGTATTTGGGGAGTTTTAATGAAGTGATAAAGCTACCAACTGCTAGCCTGGGTAAATTTTTAAAATCCATCTCTAGCACCCCATCAAACTAAATAAGGAGAGTTACTGTTCAATTACTGCTAACAATAAGAAAGACTCCTCCTTCAGACATCTTAGAGCAAATCTGATTACACCTTTCTGCCAAAGACTATTCCCATAGTTTGGTTTGAGCTATTTTAAATATTTGTCAGGTCTTGAGCAATTTCTATATATCTCTTCAGCAGCAGTTCCAGCATCCAAATTAGCAAGTAGATGTTTGAATAACCAAGCAAGATAAGGCATCGCTATGTGTACTTTTAGTCTAAGCCCCATTTGTGCCTAGGGAAAGTAAAGCCCAACCCGCTAACAAAAATATTTCTGTGTTGCAGCTCAGTTTTGCTACTATTTATAGTCATATAATTTTCATATTGAGGTCTCACTATAGATATTTGCTTTAGAAATGATGGAGAATGGCAGTCTATTAAAATTTATTTAACTGAATTATTCATGTTCTGCTGTAACAGGTACAATGATGAGCCACTCTACCAAAGAAAAGAATACTATGTCCCACATTGATTTACAAAAATAATTAAATACTAGATACACAACAGTAGCCATTACAAATTATACTTTTAAGATACTTTTAATAAAAAGTACAGCATTTTCAGTTTTGTAAAACTCAACACACCCTTTGAAAATGCATGAAATATTATGAAAGAAAATATATGAAAATATTACATTTCTCTAGTAATTGAAATTATGAGATTTATTTCTCAAATGTTCTATGATGAGCACACATTACATTTTTAAATAGAAAAAATATTTTTACTAAGATTTTGATATTATGATATATGTAAAACTTTAAAGGACACACTTTCAATCCTAACTGCCAAGTTATTAATAGAAAGTCTGAATGACCATTGCAATATGAAACATCATTTGCATGTCTTGGTAATTTTGTTTAACTTTGTTAAGCATTCTATTCCAATCAGAAGTGATACTCTTTCCATTTTCCAAAATCATCTTTTCAATAAAATTATTTCTCCTCTCAACGGTGCTTTATCGACATGTCAAATATACCCTTGATAGTTCACCTGTGCATTTATAACTAACTATAGTGGTTCTCACTCTTTGTTGCTTATTAGAATCACCTGGGAAATTTCAACAACTTCCAATGTTCAGAACACACCGCTGACATGTTAATCAGAATTTATGTGGGTGGAATCCAGGCCTCAGTAGTTTGCAAAGCTTCCCAGGTGGTTCAAATGTGCATCCTGTACTGAGAACCAGTGAACTAGAGTTTTATTACTCAAAGTGTGGTCCATGGACTGGAAGCATCAGCATCACTCAGAAACGTGTCAGAAGTACAAAATCTTAGGCCCCCTCATAAATCAGAATCTGCATTTAAACAACATTTGCAGATGATCTCCATGCATGTTAAAAGTTGAGAAGCGTTATTCTAGAGTGCTCAAATGAATCATTGGGGTTAATAAGATCAAGGTCATGAGTGTTACCTTTGTTCCAACCTCCGTTTTGCTGTGTTTGAGGCAGATAGTCATGAGCATTTGTGTTTAACGGTTTCTGATTCTAAGGCCATGGGTGTGAATAGTCTTTTGTGTCCAAAGTAGATGCATGTTTGCATCTCCCAAAGGAGATGTAATGATCTCCCAAAGGCAAGGGATGATTCTGTTTCGTGTTAGGAGTTCCTCATTACCCCAGGAAATCAGTTCATTAATAATATTGATTACTCTGACACCATTTATGAACCTCATTCCATGAGACCCTTCACAATCAGATTCTACTTACTTTAGTCAGATTGCTGCAAAATCCCATGGTCTTTCACAAATCCATGTTGATTCATATTACACAGTGCTGGGCACAAAGAGAGCCCTCAATAAATATTAGCTAGCTATTGTTATTTCTGCCTTCAAATGGGAAAACGTCTCAGCTGGAATGTCTTTGTCCCTCCTTCCTCACCTGGAAAATGCAAATTTAGCATTCAAATACTGACCCTGTGCAGCTCACCCTAAGTGCCCTCAGGTGAGGGTCCATCCTGTATGCCACCTCCTCTGATTAGAATTAATCTGCCGTGGGTGCTGTAGCCCCTCCTACTCTGGGCGCTCCTTCAGAAGAGGGACCAGATGTCCTTGAACATCTAGGACTCCTAAGCCCTCCATAAATATGTATAAAATGGATCAATAATTGAAACCAAAAATCATCTCCCCGCATGGAGATTTGCCATGTACATGGCATAGTTTCTAGTCAGGCAAAATAGAAAACCACCAGAAAGCATCTGGTTTTGAAAATGATAGTTATGAGATGCATTTTTTATGAGACAGTTACTGTTTAAAGGAAAAATTTTAAATAATGCATTCTGTAAATTCCTGAACTATAGTCTCTTATTTCATCTATATGGCTTCCAAGGAAAATTTCATATTACCAGAATAGGACTTTTACCTTTTTATGCATTAACTTTTTTCATTAACTTATTACTTCAACAGTAAATCATTTAAAATATCTACTCTAAGGCATTATATGTTTTAAATGTCTACAGTAGGGCATGAAAATATGAAAGTATTTTCCTTAGCAGGATTAAGTGGAAATATCATGGTATGATAATGACTTACAAAAAGAGATAATGTATATTTTGCAATTAGGCAAAATATTCCACATTTGCTGTGGAGGGCACAAGTATCACTTTTTAGGAGTTTTCCTAGCCCTTCCTCACTTTGGTGTGCTTTCAACAACCAGGCCAACATCTGGAGCTTTTCTTCAGGAGGAAAATGCCACTCAGGCTAAAGGAACTGCTTTTCAGTGATTGTAGATGCGGAAGTATGAAATCATAGCTTCTTTGATTCAGATTCGGACAACTCTGAAGGGTAACTTACACTCCAGAGTTTACTCCTGATAACATGTTGAAGCTACCCTCTGTGAGACTGGATCTAAAATGGTACTTTGACTTGTCATTTTATCTTTTCCTTTTTGCTTCTCTCATTCCCATTAGCAGTCCCCCAAGCCCTCCAAGAATATCATTAATAAATCAGTTGCATGCCAATCATCTTCTCAGGGTCTGTTTCTGAGAATCATGACTGAAAGCACTTTTAATGCTATATTTCTGCATAAATATATAAAAATACATACACAGAGTTTTACACACTCAGCATTCTTTAATACTTTTTTATTTTGCATTTATCAATTAGTCATTTATGTTTTTATACATCTGTACTTTCCATTGTGTTAAAGGGTCCTTATGAATGGGAACTGATTTATTCCCATTGTGCCCCTTTTCTCTGCCCTCTCCCTGATCCAATGCCTCACAGACTCCTATACAGAGTAAGTGCTCAAAGATGTTGTGTTTTCTCAAATAGGATAGAATACACATTCATTTTATAGACATATGCATTAATTAAGTCAAATGTGATATCTGAAGAACTTAAACCATATATTCTTGAACGATTATTTTTCTGGGAAGGCAGAACAAATATTTAAAAGTCTTATGACTTAAAACCAAGTGAAATTTTCTTTGAAATGAATTCATCATAAAAAGCAGTTTAAAGTAAGAAATGGTGAAAATAATTGTACTACTGCAAATTCTGTCTTTTGGACTATTTTGTGATTAATGCCTACTAAAATTATTCAAATGTAATCTGACAGATTTTTCAAAAAGCCATAATTAGAAATGAAAAACGAGACAAGAGATTTCATCAAATCTCTTTTCTTTGCCATCCAAACCAGTCTTACTCAATTTCCTTTCATGAATTCTGTTTCCCTAACATATTTTCAGTTCAGCCACATTTGGGCTACAGACATGCAAAACTCTCATAGCATGCAAATGAAATTAGCAACCTGGCTGACAAGCAAAATGCACCTTTTCTCTATCGCCTAGCAGGGACATACCCCTGGAGAGGGAAAGTGGCCCTTCCTGAGTATGTTTGCTTTGACTCAGTTGCCTACAATGCCTTGGAATATTCTTCCCATCAAGCACTTGGACATTGAATTTCAGAAGTCAACCTATGAGACTAAACTGATCTCCACCTTCAACAAATTTCCATGCAAATTAGGCTTCCATAAACATATAGCATGACCAAAAGAAAAAGCTGTTGCAGAAATTCTAAAGACCTAAAGTATTTTTTTTTATCACTTGTCACACGTGTTAAAGAAAAGTCATTTTTTCCATGAGCTTCCCCATGCCTGAGTTGCTGCCTCAGGCCAGCTCTTTATAAAAGTCCACAATTGTTTCAATGTGGTTGTTGCTATTTTCACTGTATAGTTCTTCATTCATCGTCATGGTTGGCCCTTAATACAAAGGTACGAGAAAGTATTACTGGAGGATAGCATGCTACTAGCATCAGGGTATGTAGACAGAAATGTGACTTTCTAAGATAAGGCCAAAAAATGATGGTGCCTTTGTGCAAGAGAAAAGTGTTTTCCTGTTTCTTTCAATAATTACCTATATCACAATCACTTGGGAGGGCTTGTTAAAAACACAAATTCTCAGGATCCATTCTTTGAATCTAAATTTCTAGAGATAAGACCATTCCATTTATCAAGTTCCACTTGAGCTCCACTTGACCATCACTCATTGGCCCAGGAGTAAGCCTATGACTCAAACAGAGCTAAAGAGAGTTCTTCCTTAGAATTTTAAATTTATGGCCACTGGATGGGGTGCTACGTGAGGATCCGGAACTTTGTTTTGCTCTCTGATGTATGTGTATCACCTTGAATAATGACGGTTATGTAGTAGGAGCTTATTAAATTGAATCAGTGGAATATGTCTCAGTTTCCCTTTGATGGAGAACACTGTGAATTGTGAGGCAGCCATATTCCCCTAGGCTTAGAGGAATACAAACAGAATGAGACTGTTCTAACAACACTCAAGTTCCTAATTCCAGTTGTCTTTTCTGCTTAGCTATTTCCCTGTCATTCCCTTGATTTTGTGAGCCAATAAATTGTCCAAATTTGCTTGATTTGAATTTCAAACTAAAACAGTTTAATAAGTATAGCTAAGATCTTATAATCTCTTATTTTTAAAATTATTTTATTATATTTTTACCGCACTTTAGCTTACAACCAACTTCTAAAATAGATTTAAAATCTGAGATGCTAAAAAGTAGAGAAGACTTGCTTAAGGTCACATACTAGTGTATGGAAAAACCGGAAATAAATTTTTTATCGAATCTTCCTTCTTGGTGGAAAAGGATAAGTAAAACTTGGAGGAGATTGAGAACTTTGAGGTGTTTTTACCTGTAATGCTTTCCAATTAGCTTAGCATTATAGCAAAACTGGTTCAGTGATGATGGAGGGTTTCAGCCACTGGGCACTTGCAGAAATCTCATTGTACTAAAGACAGATTACCTGATACATTGTTGTCTACCCCAAATAAATGTATTATCTGTCAATGGAAAGTAAGAGTAATGGGAACCACTGATGTTGACTTAATATTAACCACAAGGAAAAACTGGGTAGTGATGGTGGTGATTCAGAAGTGTTAGGAATAGGAAGAGTAGTACATTGTTGTCATACACATTGTCTGACGTAGATCCTGGATAAGTCTGGGCTCATGTTTGGGAAGCAGTTATTTCAAAATTCTCACAGACAAGAATAAACTCTTTGACAGTTACTTTGCAAGTGTTGGGGGGAAACACTCAGACAAACTGGGAAGATTTTGCTTGCCCAGCAGCCCACAGCCTTTGCTTTGGCATCAACACCCTAAATTTTCATTGGGGAATCACTTCTTTCCCACTCTCATAACATGTTCCCAGGCATAAGCATGTGACCAAAGCTTGGCCAACCAGATTCATTCTGGAATGGGCATGTGACCAAAACTAGGCCAAAGAGAGTCAAAATCTTGAGAGAAACACTCCTTTTCTTCATTTTATTTATTTATTAAATTTAACTTTTATTTTAAGTTCGAGGCACATGTGCAGGTTTGTTATATAGGTAAACACATGTCATGGGGGTTTGTTGTACAAATCATTTTGTCACCCAGGTATTAAGCCTTGTACCCATCAGTTATTTTTCCTGATCCTCTCCCTCCTCCCACTGTCCACCACCCCAGTGTCTGTGGTTCCCCTTTATGTGTCCACAGAGAAACACTCTTTTTCTACGAAGATTGCTAAACTGTAGAAAAAGCCTGCCTCAAAATGAATCCAACCTGGGGTGAGGAGAGGACAAGGAGGAAGAGGAGGCAGGAGAAAGGGAGAAAAATTTCACATCATTATTTTAGCGCTTAGTGTAAGCCATGCCAGGATCTCTTGGTTTCAACCCATCAGTTCTCTTTTGGAGAAATTCAGGGCGAGTTGAGTTCCTGCCTAATACAGAGGCAGCTGAAGAGTTCATTGGAGTTGCAGAGAGAATTTGCTGAAAGACAAAGATCTTAAAAACACAAAGATGAGATGGAGGCAACTAACCAAATATGAATTGGAGGAATGGCATGAAGCCCCAGAATGGCATCAGAAAGGCAGGGAGAGTTTAGGATTATTAAGTAAGCATGCAAAAAGAAGACACAATTCCTTTCTTTTATTCTCTGAGAAAGAAGGGACAAAAAGTTACAGGAGTATTGGTTGTTTCATAACAGTTGATAGAAGGAAGGCAAAACTATTCCATTTCTTTTATCTTTATTTTTTCATTGAAGAAAATTAATTTCAAACTGAAAAAGTTAGAACAACGAAGATCAGGAAAAAAGAGAAACCCTGGACACTTACAAAGATCAGAGGTTATATCAGTCTGAAAATAACTTTTGCTGATTTAAACAGAAAAGGAATTTATTAAAAGAAAATTGTGTAGCTCACTGAAACTCTGGGAGGGCTGGAAAGCTGGGCAGAGGCTGAGGGGCAGGAATGTCGCTCTAAATCACCCCACATAAAAGCCTATTGAGGACTCAGTTGCCACCATCACTATGTAATAGATGATACAGTTTGTGTCAGAACTACCACAGCATGGGACATTTCATGCTGCCACTAAGACCCTGTCTCTGCTTCCCTGGGAATTCGATCTTGAGACAGCCAAACTTTCCACCCAAGGTGAATCTCCATAGTCACAGATATTTGACATGGTTAGCTTCAATTCAAAGCCTGATAGTACTGACAAGAGCATCTGATTGGCAGAATGTTGTCATGTACTCACATCCTAGCTGCAAGGAAAGTTGTGAAAAATCTGAATGTGGCATTTTCAATTATGTAAAAGGAAGTGAGGTCTGACCTCCACTAAATCTCACAAAGTGAGAATTCCAAGAAATAATTGTCATGGCAAAAGTTATAAAGCTTTCCCTCTATGTTTTCTTCTAGGAGTTTTAGAGTTTCAGGTCTCACATTTAAGTCCTTATTCTATCTTGAGTTTATTTTTGTATATGGTGCAAGAGAAGGATCTGATCATTCTTTTGCATGTGGCTATACAGTATTCCCACCACCTTATTGAAGAGAGTACCCTTTTTGCATTGTTTATTCTTCGTAGTTGATCATATATGGGCAGGTTTATTTCTGGATTTCTAGTCTGTTTCATTGGTTTATATGTCTGTCTTTATGCCAGTACCATACTGTTTTTTTTATTACTGTAGCTTTGTAATATATTTTTAAATTAGGAAACATGAAGCCTTTAGTTTTGTTCTGTTTTTCTGAAGAACAAAGAGAAATAATGTTCTTTCATGTTGCTATTCAGAGTTCTTGGTGGTTCCATATGAATTTTAGGATTTTTTTTCTATTTCTGTAAAAAATATCATAAGGATTTTGATAGGGATTGCATTGAATTATAGATTGCTTTGAGTTATTGGACATTTTAAAAATGTTTTTCCTATCCATGAACATGAGATGCCTTTCCATTTATTCATGGCTTCTTTAATTTATTTAATCAACGTTATACGTTGTCTTAGTCTGTTTTCTGTTGCTACAACAGAATACCTGGGTAACTTATAAAGTAAAGAGGTTTATTTAGCTCACAATTGTAGAGGATGGGAGGTCCAAGATCAGGTGGCTGTATGTGGCCAACTTCTGGTGAGGGCTTTGTGTGTCATAACATGGCAGAGAATTGGAAGGGGAAGCAGGCACATGCAAAGAGGCCAAACATGAGAGGCAGGCTTACTTTATAACAACCTACTCTCATGATAATGAAATCAGTCTCACAAGACCAAGAACTCACTCCTGTGAGAAAGCCATTACCTAATCACCTTTTAAAGTTACTACCTCCCAATACCATTACACTGGCAATTAAATTTCAACATGAATTTTCGTGGAGACAAACTACATACAAACCATAGCATATGGTTTTCAAAGTACATGTCATTCACCTCTTTGGTTAAGTATTTCTAAGAATTTGTTCTTTTTGATACTATTATAAATGAGATTATTTTCTTAATTCGTTTCAGACAGCTCATTGTTAGTGTATAAAAACACGACTAAATTTTGTATATTGATTTCCTTACCTGTAACTTTACTAAATTCATTTATTTGTTCTTCTTCTTCTTCTTATTATTATTATTTTGGTTACATCTTTAAGGCTTTCTATATATAAGATCATGTCATCTGCAAATAGGGACAATTTAACTTCTTCCTTTCCAACTTAGGCACTTTTATTTCTCTGTCTTGCCTAACTGCTCTGATAAATATGTTGAATAATAGTGGCAAGGGTGTGCGTCTTTGCTTGTTCCTGGTCTTAGAGGAAAAGTTTCAGTTTTTCACCACTGAGTATGATATTTGCTGTGGACTTTTCATATACAGCCTTTATTATGTTGAGGGAATTTCCTTGTATTCTAGGTTTGTTGAATGCCTTTATTATAATAAAATTGAATTTTTAAAAATAGTTTTTTGAATCTATTAAGACAATCATGTAATTTTTATTCTTTGTTCTGTTAATGTGTTACATTATTGATTTGCGTATGTTGAGCCATCCTTACATCCTAGGGATAAATATCACTTGTTTGTCGTATATAATCCTTTCAATGTGTTAAATTCAGTTTGCTATTATTTTTCGAGGATTTTTGCATCTATATTCAAGAATATTGGCCCGTAGTTTTCTTTTCTTGTAGTGTCTTTTTTTTTGGCTTTCCTGTTAGATAATGCTGGCCTCATAAAATGAGTTTGGAAGTATTCTATCTTTTAAATTTTTTTGGAGGATTTCAAGAAAGATTGGCCTTAATCTTCCCTTAGATGTTTGGTAGAATTCCCCTATGAAGCCATCTGGTCCTGAGCTTTACTTTGTTGGGAGGTTTTTTGTTGTTGCTTTTTGAGATGGAGTCTTGCTCTGTCACCCAGGCTGGAGTGCTGGAGTGCAGTGGCTTGTTCTCAGGTCACTGCAACTTCCGCTTCCTGGGTTCAAGGGATTCTCCTGCCTCAGCCTCCAGAGTAGCTGGGATTACAGGTGCCCACCACCAGGCCCAGCTAATTTGTGTATTTTTAGTAGAGAGGAGGTTTCACCATGTTGGCCAGGCTGGTCTGGAACTCCTGACCTCAAGTGATCCACTCGCCTCGGCCTCCCAAAGTGCTGAGATTACAGGCGTCAGCCACCACGCCCAGCCTGTTGGGAGGTTTTTGATTACTGATTCAATGTCCTTACTAGTTATGAATCTGTTCAGATTTTCTATTTTTTTCATGATTCAGTTTTAGTAGGTTATACATTTATAAGAATTTATCCATTTCTTCCAGGTTTTCCAATTTGTTGGTATACAATTATTCTTAGTAGTCTCTTATAATCCTTTTTATTTCCATGGCCGGGGTGCTAGTCTTGATGTGAGTATTTGAAGCAGCAGTGGTGGCAGTATGGCTTGGTGGGGGTGAGGAGCCCCCACTGGGACTGTGTGCATGTCCCTGCAGCTGGTGGTTATAGCATGGAGGTGGGTGCATTGGTGGGTGCAGGACTGTGTGCACCCTCTGTGCACGTTCATGCTGGCAGCAGCAGCCGCTCAAGGCTAGGGGCTAGTCTACTGTTTTCCATGCCTAGTTTTGCTCTGGTGGCCCAGGTTCATGGGCAGCGTGCTGACAGTGGGGGCTGGGTGGCTCTGTGCCCACCAATGTTCTGAAGACAATGGTGGTGTGGTGGGGTTGGGGGTGGGGGGAGGAGGTGCACTCACTCCAGCAGCAGTGGCAAGGTAGGGTGCAGGTGTACCATTGTGCTGGCGGGGAAGAGAAGGCTAGGTCTGCCTGGGCATATATGCACCAGCATAGTGATGTGGAGGGTGGCCATGGGTGCAAACGAGCTGTTATGTGTTTTCAGAGGCCACTCGGCTGGAGCACTCTGCCAGTCAGGTGTGGTCCACCAGCTATAATGTGGGCTCCAAGAGGCACCTAGCAGCTGTGCTGCAAGCAGCTGTGGCCAGGCTGGGGCCCCGCAGGAGGCCAGCAGACTGAGAGGTGCTCAGGTTGGCCTAGTCCTGTCTCCTGGGTAAGACTGCCCTGCAGAGTTCAGGTCCAAAGGTTCCCCTAGGGCAAAATTATCCTGTGCAAGCAATTCTAGCCTAGGGGGATGCACATCTCTGACAGTGCTCCACTACAGTTGCTCCCACAGGACACCCTCTGTGCTCTGCCTGTGGCTGGAGTTCTACCGCTACCACTTCTCTAAGTAGCTTTCCCTGACAACTCAAGTGTCCATGGTGGTCTAGGGTCTCCTCTTGCTAAGATTCCAAAGGCCCACAGTGAGAGTGGGTAGCTCCTTGCCTGTTAAACTCATCCCCTCTGTAGGAGTCACTGGGGGCCAGGAACACATTCCAGTGTGCACTAGCCCTAGAAAGGGTTCCTAGCTTCCTCCCCCTTCAGCCCACCCTCTGTATCTTCCCTCCACCTGTTCTGCCTCTGCCTAAAGCTATATGATAAGAACATGGCAGCACTGGGATGTGAACTCATTTTTGCCTAGCTCCAAAAGCCTTGCTCATTCATTCAGACTCTCAGAAATGAAAATAATTCCCTTCATCTTTGTTAAATCACATATTCCTACAGCCAAATTCTCCAAAGCTTTTGTGAAACCTATGTGATGCTGTAATACAATTGATTACTACAGTATTTATGGAATATACCATTCATAGCTTTAGGCTACACAGGCACAGTTACATATCAAGCTCTCTTGAATTCTCTCTCTTTCTAAAACCTATGGATTTGAAGTCAGGATGTTTTCAGAAGTCCAACTGGTGTTAAAAATCCAAATAGATCAAACATTGTTTCTGTTTATATCTGTATGACAACTAATACCAATGTGTGTAATTACAGTGTAGAGAAACCCACATAATTTCTGTGAGGAAAGTTTATTTTCCTGGAAGTAGCCATTACCAAGAAGCAATAGAAACCATAACCAGTGGCTCTTATTTTGCATTTACACTTTTTCATCTTAATGTTAGTATATGTGCAGCCAAAGCAAGCCCTACTTTTTCATGTTAAGCAATGGCTAAGATTGTGTGTGATATAGGTGAAGGCTATCACCAGATAAACACCATCAAAAAGTTATGTTTGTATAGTGTATTTCTGTTGTGATATTTTTAGTACCCTTCTTCCTTTCCAACTCCCTCCTTCTCTTCCACAAATGCAGGTTTTGTATTAATTCTGTGATGCCTGAGGCATTAGGCACTCCAATAAGTAATTAAGTCTCACCAGAATTTGAGTTTGATGATATGGTGTCCATTGTGTAAATGAGGATACATCCTCCATGAAGCTCAAGGTCACACAACCAAATGTGAAAAAGTAGGTCTGTCTCTTGCTGAAAGGAACTGAACATTGAATGCTGCTGCATGAAGCCCAAGGCTTCAGTGGAGAACCTCAGAAACCAGATAACTCTGAGCCATAAGGCATGGTATTGGCCTCTCAGAAGTTGTAATAAATAAGTATGGGATTTTCCCTTATTTTGAAGGCATTAATGACTCATTTCTCTAGGATACTGATGTAAGTTCTTCAGTGGAAGACAGCTGGAAAATGTGGGTCCTTGTCTACAGATATAAGATCTTAATAAAAGTAATCATGAAATTGACCTCGATGAGGAAAGCACTGAAACAGGATTACATGGCCTGAGTGAAGTCCTAACAGTAGAGAAGATTATGTACAAAGACACAAGAAACACACAGAGGTAAGAAAAGGAATATTAACTGGAGTCTGGAATGCAGGAGCATGTGAGTGTGTGTGTGTGCATGTGTGTGTGAGTGTTTATGTACCTAGATAAGTTTAGATGAGCCTGGAGAATTAACAAGCCATGCTTGTATTTTGCAAAAATATACTCGAGAAGAGACACAGGTTGGAAACCGTTGCAGAAATACAAT
This sequence comes from Homo sapiens, assembly GCF_000001405.40. Classification (NCBI taxonomy): domain Eukaryota; kingdom Metazoa; phylum Chordata; class Mammalia; order Primates; family Hominidae; genus Homo; species Homo sapiens. The sequence continues at coordinate 37,012,915 of NC_000023.11, read as the reverse complement.
AAGAGATAGTGGTGACATGAACCTAAGTTTATGATGATGAATTTGAAGAGAAATTCTAGGCCTTGGCTTAGAAAACAACATAGAAAATACTTGGTTCTTCAGGAACATAATACCCACAAGACAAACTTCACTAGAAACAGAATTTGCACATACACAGATCTATATATCACTGCTTAGTTGGATGAAATATATGCATATACATCCATTTACAGATGGACACTTTCGTCACTGAAAGAAAAAGTGCACTTCAGATCTACACTACAAATATATTTACCTACAAATTTACCTATATCAGACAGTTTTACCTGCTATTTTTGAAAGGTAAAGCAGATGCTTGATTTATCATTTTAAACTTATGAGTGCATTTTAAATTGCTATGAATGAAATGAAAATTATTTTAACTTGAACAGATATGTAAGGATATTTGATGTTGCTTGGTAGCTTTTCTCATACAGATCCTATTTTGCACATGAGATTTGCCAGGGAGTTGAAGCTACCTCCTATTCTGCACTTGTTTATATGATTTGGTAATAGTATTTTGTTGTGAAGGTTTATGAACATGGTGAAATACATACATTCTATTGAGAGATATGACAAAATGGCATAACTCAAGTTTCAACTATGATTTTGATAAATAGTTTTCAAACTTGTTTTGGGGGGTTGATGGAATCACAAGGGGGAAGATAACAATTTTACTATTAAAAAGTGTTAACATTATTTTGGCTATAGTAATAAAATAATTGTCATAATTATTTCATTAGAATTTTCATATAAGAAGAGTTATAGAATTATCCTTTCACTCAGCAAATTTGGTTTGTTTGTTTGTTTTTTGAGACAGGGTCTTGCTCTGTCGCCGAGACTGCTGTGTGGTGGCATGAAGCCATCCTCCCACCTCAGCCCCCCAGGTAGCTGGAACTACACGTGCATGCCACCATGCCTGGCTAATTTTTGCATTTTTTTGTAGAGACCAGGTTTCACCATGTTGCCCAGGCTGCTCTTGAACTCCTGGGCTCAAGCAATCCACCCATCTGGGCCTCCCAAAGGCGGGAGGGATTACAGGTGTGAGTCAACGCACCCGACCCCATTTCTCTTTCTAAGATTAATTCTGCTTTTGTTTCTGGTTGTATGTATTTTTACAAATAATTGAAATGATGATGTAATATTCACAATGCTTCAAAAGTGTGAAAAAAGTATATGTGAATATTAATCATATAAATGATAAAATATATGAAGTAATGAAGCCAAAGCAGGTCATTAAGAAATATTTATAAACATTAGGTATTGAATTTACAGATGTTGCCAACGTTGTACATTCCTGGGGCCAGTCATCATAAATTCTGACTGATGTTTAAAATGAGAGCAAGAAATACCCAATTAACTAGTAAATTCAAAACCATCTAATCTTCTTCCGATGCATCTGTGACGTCTTCTTTGTACTTGTAAACTTGCATTGCACGTTGAATAGGAGTCTTAACAGAGTCATAAGTCCATCCCCTCCTGGCAAACAGCCTTTGAATGATGCCAGGCATTTCATAGCCCTTGCTTAGAATGAAATCCTTAAAGGCGATTGGTCCATAAAGACCGTCAAGAATGTCGGGTTCATCAGGCTTTTCAAGTACGAGCTTGGGGTCAATCAAAGGTTCATCACTTCTTAGCTTTTTCCCCAACTTAGGCTTGAGGTACCATGCTCCATACCCCATCTTCACATGCTGTGCACTATGAGAATTTGGTGCATTCTGGATTTTCCCGTCCAAGTCTTTTTCCTGTGAGAAGAATTTGACCTCATCCATTTCGTCTAGCTCCATGCTGTACTTCAGCCCTGAGGAACACTCGTTTGCCTTCTTATTCTTTTGGTCTTGATAGGTTGCTCTGCACTCAGGGGTAAAGTCAAACAGACTGCTGATGGATTCTTCATTAACTCCTAGGTCTCCAGCCCACTTGAAGTCACGGAGTTTTCTCGATGTGTGTCTACGTTGAAGAGAGTCAGAAACACACTCCATTGTGCTTGATGTACCTTCCTGAAACAGTTCTTTTAGATGGGACGCTCCGGTCTTGGTAGGCTCCGGGCAGAGACTGGACACCCGACCAGTCTTGGGAGGCTCCAGGCGGAGACTGGACACTCGACGAGTCTTGGGAGGCTCCAGGTGGAGACTGGATACCCGAGGCTTGGGAAGCTCTGGGTGGAGATGGGACACTCCAGTCTCAGGAGGCTCCGGGCGGAGATGAGATACGCGAGTCTCAAGAGGCTCTGGGCGGAGACTGGAAACCCGAGGCTTGGGAGGCTCTGGGCGGAGATGGGACACTCCAGTCTCAGGAGGCTCCGGGCAGAGATGAGATACGCGACTCTCAGGAGGCTCCGCGTGGAGACTGGACACCCGAGTCTTGGGAGGCTCTGGGTGGAGACGGGACACTCCAGTCTCAGGAGGCTCTGGGCGGAGATGAGATACGCGAGTCTCTGGAGGCTCCGGGCAGAGATGGGACACTCCAGTCTCGGGGGGCTCCGGGGGGAGACTGGACACCCGAGTCTTGGGAGGCTCTGGGCAGAGATGGGACACTCCAGTATTGGGAGGCTCCGGGCGGAGACTGTACATCCGAGTCTTGGGAGGCTCTGGGCGGAGATGGGACACTCCAGTCTCAGGAGGCTCTGGGCGGAGATGAGATACGCGAGTCTCTGGAGGCTCCGGGCAGAGATGGGACACTCCAGTCTCGGGGGGCTCCGGGGGGAGACTGGACACCCGAGTCTTGGGAGGCTCTGGGCAGAGATGGGACACTCCAGTATCGGGAGGCTCCGGGCGGAGACTGTACATCCGAGTCTTGGGAGGCTCTGGGCGGAGATGGGACACTCCAGTCTCAGGAGGCTCTGGGCGGAGATGAGATACGCTACTCTCAGGAGGTGCCTGGTGGAGACTGGACACCAGAATCTTGGGAGGCTCTGGGCGGAGATGGGACACTCCAGTCTCAGAAGGCTCTGGGCGGAGATGAGATACGCGTGTCTTGGGGGGCTCTGGGCAGAGATGGGACACTCCAGTGTCGGGAGGCTCTGGGCGGAGATGAGATACGTCCTTCTCTGGAGGCTCCGGGCAGAGATGGGACACTCCAGTCTCAGGAGGCTCCAGGTGGAGACTGGACACCCGAGTCTTGGGAGGCTCTGGGCGGAGATGGGACACTCCAGTCTCAGGAGGTTCCGGGCGGAGATGAGATCCGCGAGTCTTGGGAGGCTCCAGGCAGAGATGGGACACTCCAATCTTGGGAGGCTCCGAGCGGAGATTAGATATGCGAGTCTTGGGAGGCTCCGGGAAGAGAGGAGACACTCCATTCTTGGGGGTCTCTGGGCGGAGAGGAGGTACGCGAGTCTTGGGAGGTTCCGGGCAGAGATGGGACACTCCAGCCTCGGGAGGCAGCTGGCGGAGAGGAGATACGCGAGTCTCTGGAGGTTCCGGGCAGAGATGGGACACTCCAGTCTCGGGAGGCTCTGGGTGGAGACTGGACACCAGAGTCTTGGGAGGCTCTGGGTGGAGATGGGACACTCCAGTCTCAGAAGGCTCTGGGCGGAGATGAGATACGCGTGACTTGGGAGGCTCCAGGCAGAGATCAGGCACTCCAGTCTCAGGAGGCTCCCGATGGAGATGAGATACGCGAGTCTTGGGAGGCTCTGGGCAGAGATGAGACACTCCAGTCCCAGGAGGCTCCAGGTAGAGATGGGACACTCCAGTCTCGGGAGGCTCCAGGTGGAGACTGGACACCTGAGTCTTGGGAGGCTCTGGGCGGAGATGGGACACTCCAGTCTCTGGAGGCTCCAGGTGGAGACTGGACACCTGAGTCTTGGGAGGCTGTGGGCGGAGATGGGACACTCCAGTCTCTGGAGGCTCCGGGCGGAGACTGGACACCGGAGTCTTGGGAGGCTCCGGGGGGAGACAGGACACCCGAGTCTCGGGAGGCCGAGGGGAGAATTCCCCACAGGGGTATTTACCAGGCTCCGTGGGTTCGTCAGTTGTCTTCTCCTGGCCCTCACAAGAGCCTGCGTCCTCCAGCTTCCTCTCAGGGTCCAGCGGTTTCAGTACCTGTAGTAGGAGATCTGGAGGCATATCTTCTCCCAGATTGGGGTACATGGCCAAGGGATGCTTGGTCATCAGCTGGGCTTCCACTTCCTCTACGAACGCCTTCCGTGCTGGCTGTGCTGGCGAGAGCTTGGAAAACAGGGCCGCTTTCTTGAGCAGCTTTTTCTTCCTGCTTTTGGGGTCAGCTTGGGGACCTCTGAGAGATATTTTGGGGAGTAAAAACTCGTCACGGCGACAAACAAGCGTATCTTCAGGAGACTGACAGCCGTAGCGGAAGTCGTCCATGCCCTCCGTCACAAATACCCAGTTCTGGGTGTCCACAGGCGGGAACCTCAGGCGCCTGTGCTTGCGCTTCGCGAAGTACTTGGAAGGCGGTTTGTCACAGTACCAGGGCGTGGAGTCCATGCCCGGGGAACTGGGCCGGTCCTGCGGCCTCTGGTCCCCCATGGTGGCCCTCGCTGGGGTGCCACCTCTCCAGTTTCCGCGGTTCCTGATCCCTGACGCTCTAGTCGCTAGGAGACCGCCAGCCACGCGCAGCCCAGGTTCCTTCCTGGAGGCGGAGCAGCGCTGATGCCACCTGCGCAGCCCAGATTCTAACAGGTGTGTAGTAGAATCTCATTCTGGGTTTCATTTGCGTTTCCTAATGACTACTGATATTGAACATCTCTATATTTGCTTATTTGCCATCCTTATCTCTCCTTGGTTGAAGTTTCTGTGGATTTTTCCCCCATTTTTAAATTGTGTTGCTGGATATCATATTTAGTTTTGAAAATTCTTGTTCTGTTCTACATCTAAGTCCGTTATCATCTATATGATTTGCAAATTTTTCTCTTCATCGTTGGCTTTTCCCTTTCATTGTCTTAACAGTGTCTATCAAAGAGAAGTTTTTTTTTATTTGATGAAGTCCAATTTATTAATTTGCTCTTTTACAGATTGTGCTTCTTTTGATGTATCTGTGAAAACTTTGCCTATCCAAAGGTCACAAAGATTTTTTTAAATTTAAATTTGTTTAAAGATTTGTAAACAGCACACGATATAGATCAAAGTACTTTTTAAAAAAATGTGTCTATTGCCTGTGTATATCTGGTAATTTCAGTAAAGACTATATTTTCTCCACTGAATTACCTTTGGAAATTTGTAGAATATCAGCTGTGTATATTTTTTTGTGGGTCAATTTCTTGGCACTCTTTTGTCTTCCAGATTTTTCTCTCACACAAATTTCACCCTCTGTTGATTACTTTAACTTTAAAATAAACCTAGAAATTAGGCTGTATTAGTTCTTTAACAATGTTCATTTACAAAGTTGGTTCTTCTAGGTCCTTTGAATTTCTACAGAAACTTTAAAATCAGTTTATCAATGTCTAAAAAAAATTCCGTTGGGATTTCAATTAGGATTCTTTTGAATCTGTAGATAAATTTGTGGGTAATTGACATATTAAAAATAGGAAGTCTTCTGACCACTGAAAAAGGTACATTTTCCCATTTGTTTACGTGATTTTTAATCTTCTCAGGAATATTTTGTATTTTTTAGTGCATATGTCTTTCACATAATTTCTCCCCAGATTTTTTCTAAATATTGCTTTTGATACTATTATATGTAGTATTTTTAAATTGCAATTTCCAATTTTTTGTTGTTAGTATATATAAATATTGAGTTTTGTATATCCATCTTGTATCATACAACCTTACAAACTCACTTATTACTTTCAGGAGCATTTTTGTAGATTTCACTGAATTTTCTATATATATGATAATGTCATCTGTGAATAAAGACAGTTTCCCTTCTTTCTTTCCAAATTGAATATCTTCATCCCCTCTGCTCAGTCCAGTTGCGATCCTTGATTTTCCTTTGAATAACATCAGTGAAATTTTTCTCTCTCTTATGGTGTTTAAAACTATATCTATGAAAAAGATTTTTTTATAAAAAATGTAATTATAGACAAATTCAGCTTGCATTATTCCTTAACCATATTATTTTCTAATCACATAATAATTTTTTCTGTACATTCTTGTCCATTTTTAAAAGAAATATTTCTTATTTCCCTTGTTAAGTGCAGCTGAACAATGTTTTCTACCATTACTAGCAGGTATACCCTAGTTCCTCCTTGTAAATAAGGCATGATCAATGCCTCTCTTCCCTGTGGCTCCTCCTCTGTAAAATAGACACAATATATATTCCTCTTAGGTTTCCCATTAACGCTAATAAATGGTTTATGTGTAAATCAAGATAATCTATATAACATGATTTTGTATAGTGCCTGGCACAGAATAAGCATCCAGTAAAGTATTGTTATTTTATATAGGATTACTACTATTTGAAAATAAAAATATTCTACTTTCAGTGTCTAAATAAAGGGGAAGCAGAAATCATACAGATCTATTTATATGTCACAAATATTTTCATTTATCAATTATAAGAATCTGTTAAACTGTCAACACATTTAGTAGATTTCATAATGTGAAGTTGGTAAGACCATTTTGATATGGATTTGTTTTTAACTTTCTCACTTGGAAAAATTCCATGGAATGTATGTTAAATTCAAGAGCCAATATTTCAACAATTCTCTATAACAGTACTCTAACTAGCAAGCTCATATGAGTTCTCACTTATCTAAAGTGGGTGAGGGTTTGAATAAAACTTCTATATTCTAAATATTCCCAGAGAAAAACACACATTGAAGCTCCTAAAGGTCAACTGGGCATCTTCAAAATTTTTCATGTGGCTGTTCATTAAAACAGTTTTTGTACTTTACAGCCACTTCATTTTTTTCCACTTTACAAAGTAGAATATTATACAAAATACTCATATCCAGAATACATAAATAATTATTAAAACTTAACAATAAGACGGCCGGGCGCGGTGGCTCACGCCTGTAATCCCAGCAATTTGGGAGGCTGAGACGGGCGGATCACGAGGTCAGGAGATTGAGACCATCCTGGCTAACACGGTGAAACCCTGTCTGTACTAAAAATAGAAAAAATAGGCAGGCATGGTGGCGCATGCCTGTAATCCCAGCTACTCCGTAGGCTGAGGCAGGAGAATCGCTTGAACCTGGGAGGCAGAGGTTGCGGTGAGCCGAGATCGCGCCACTGCACTCCAGCCTGGGCAACAAGGGTGAAACTCCACCTCAAACAAACAAACAAACAAACAAACAAAACAAAACAAAAAACTTAATAAGACAACAGAGAACACAAAACAAAATGTATAATACATAGTAGTTTAACATGTATAGAGATATATAGGTAAAGAAATAAATATAGTTGTGTGCACATATTGGTTAGTATACATGCATATATTTTATAGCTCTGTCTGCTGATAAACTAGAAAAAAAATGACATCCAAGTAGCAAAAAGTACATCCAGTGCCCAGATCTTGGTTTCTAAATACAATTATCCAAAATAACAAAAGCAAAACGAGACATCCTTGGAGAAATGAGTAATTCTAGGCCTGGGGCAGTGAAAACACAAGATGAGCCTGGAGTATTATGTAATGCAAGAAAATAGGAAGTTCTCAGAAAACAAAAGAATAAAAGCAGATCAGGAGCCAAGCTGAAAGAGCACTCAATGCCCAAAGTTAAAACAATTTAAGCAACATGAGAACTAAAATTTAAAAATTATAACACAATATAAAATAAAATGTCCATGAGTCCATACTGATATAAATGATTGTACAAATAAATAAATGAAAAAAAAGATGCAAATCTGTCTCCCGAAGAATTTTAAAAAATGTACATAGATACTCCTCCCTCCAGGAGGTGGAATTTAAATGCCCCCCCCCCCAGAGTGTGGGCTGGATTCTAAAAAATGGAATATGGAAAGGGAAAAATAGTGACCTTTTAGTGGAGAAGCCTGGCAGTTCTCTCCTTAAGCAAGTGATCAATGTTAATATCAGCAGTGAGACATTACATTGGTATCATGCACTACTCTGATAGGATGTGATGAGAAAGACACTTCATCTCTGTAGCATTCTTCTCTAAATTCCAGAATCCTAGTCTAATGAGGAGAAAACATATAACAAACCCAAGTCCAGGGACATTTTACAAAATTCTCAAGTATTCCTCAAAATCATAAAGGTCATGGGAAAAAATTAAAGGCAGAGAACCGGTCATAGACTTTAGATCAAAGAGACATTCAAACTAAGTTCAATGTGGTAGGCTGAGTTGGATCCTGACACTGAAAAAGGACATGGGTATAAAAAATCTACAAATCTGGATAAAGTCTGAAGTTTAGTTAATAGTAATATGTCAATGTTAATTTTTTAGTTTAAATGCATGTACAATGTAAGATATTAATTTTAGGGGAAGCTGGGTAAAATGTGCATGAAAATGCTCTGTACAGTCTTTGCAACTGGTTCATAAATCAAAAATTATTCTAAAACAAAAGATTTCCAATTTAAACTATATATTGCATCATGATAAATTATCAGCAAATCACTATTAATCATATAAGAGAGAAAGATGTAGCTTCTTTAAAATGCATACTTGTGGCCCCTCTGTCCTCATATATAGTAAATCATAATTTTTTCAAAGTGGAGCCAGTCATCTACATTTTACATGGTCTCTAAATTATACACACCAATATGTGAGAATTACTTTTCTAAAGCCCTGTGCTTTTTATAGGCCGCAAAGACTTTCAAAGAGTTTAAAAACCACAGTAGTTATGGTATTATCCAAAGTCACCAAATTTGGAGAAAATTAAATTTCAGCAAGTGCTATATGGGAATGTAAAAATCAGATAGTAGAGCCCGTGGACAAAATAATTCACTTAGATACACGTACATAACTGGTGGACCCACAGGATAATGAAGTCATGATAGAAGACTAAAGAAGATACAAAGTTTGGTGAGTACCTGACTGGCAGTGAAAAAACAACTAGGAGTGAAAGCAACTTACTTGTGCAAACAGCCCTTCTTGGGTTAAAGAAAACTGACATCACTATAGAGTTCAGAGAAATTACAACTGGCCTGTTCAATCAACAAGCAACAACTGCCTTAGTATGAAGTGTTACTCCAGAAATGAATAATGTAGCTTACAAGCAAAATGAACACCAACAAGCTAATAAATAAATGTTCAAGGAAGTCAAAATGCTCTGAGCAGAGCAGCATGTAATGAATAAGTGTATAAGAAAATTAAACAATGAAAATCAATGTGATGAAGTGCATTGGTTTAATGGAGCCTAAGTAGTACCAGTTCTGACATCTTCGTGTGCCTCTGACTGCTCTTAGTTACCTACAACATTTACTGCAGACTTAACTCCGGACACCATTTTTATGCTCCAGCAGACTCACATTATCTGCAACCTTGCTGGCTCTTCCACCCACATGCGGCACCTGCCAGCCTTTTTCAGATACCCAATCATTTTCATTCTGATCCAACCCACTTTGGAATTATTTTGCTTTTATTAGCTCTTGGTAAGTTTACTTTCTGTGATGATTAATTTTCTGTGTGAACTTGGCTAGGCTATGGTGCCCAATTATTCGGTCAAATAGTCTAGATGTTGCTGTGGAGGTATTTTTAAGCTGTCATTTAACATTTTATATCAGTAGACTTTTAGTAAATCAGATTTACCCTCCATAGGATGGGTGAGCATCATCCAGTTAGTTGAAGGCCTTCAGGAAAAAGACAAAAGTTCCCCCAAGAAGACGGATCTGTTTGAGTTTCCAGACTTTAGAATCAAGACTGCAACATCAACTTTTGCCTGAATTTCTAACCTACAACCAGGTCCACAGATTTTGGATTTGCCAACCCCCACAGTTGCATAAACCAATTCCTTAAAATTTCTCTCTCTCTCTCTCTCTCTGTATACATATATTTATATATACCTCCATAGCAACATCTAGACTGCTGATAATTTATCATGATGCAATATATAGTTTAAATTGGAAATCTTTTGTTTTTGAATAATTTTTGATTTATTAACCAGCTGCAAAGACTGTACAGAGCATTTTCATATATATATATATATATATATACACACACACACACACATACACACACACACACACACACACACACACACATATATCTCCTAATATTTTCTTATCTTTCTGGAGAACCTTGATTAATACACTATTCATTTTGATCATTTTTCTACCCGTAACAATGTTCATATCTTGTCTTATAATGATACTCCCTGCAGCAATTTTACCACTGCTATACCCACTGACACTTTTTCTCAGCAAAGTATAAAATATAGTTAAGGCATAAGAAATAATATAGACTTAAAGATTTCCATTTTGTTCATTGAATCAAAAAACATAGAAGAATTATTCCATACCTTGGTTGAATATCAGAATCATTTGTGGCCCATCTTAAGAGTATATATGCCAAGGTTCTACCCTGAGCCTGCAGAATCAAAATTCCTCCCATTGATAATGATTCACAGCCAAAGGCTGAAATCCCTGGATACATAATAATTTGATCACAGTATTTCATACAGGATATAGTCCAGCACTACTGTTATTAATAAAGAACTTGAGGCAAAATAGAACAAATGACTTACACGAGTTCTCAAAAAGTAAGAATAAACAGTGTCAGGCTAGTATTTTTCATATTTCTAGAAGATTCATTCTATTTTCTGGTATAGATAAATTCCAGAAAAAATGACAATATTCCTGTCTCCTTATATGCATATTTATCATCTGGTCCATTGTTTCAATTCACAAATATAAATAGATTGCAATATTCAGAAAATAATCGAGCAGAGGCAGCTCTATTTTATAAGGTGGTTCAGGTGGTTCAATGACGCTCTCTAGTATATAGTTAGAGGACTTCACAAATGGCTAAAATCTTGGCAATTTTGTGTGTTGTTAAAGTAATAAAACTTAGAGGACAGGTAACTGTTACTGTGTCATATTCTCTGATTTAATTAAAAAAGACTGTTCTTGCTTTCCTATTGATGGAATTTTGCAGATGCATTCAACAAGCTGTCATTAGTCTTAGCTTATTTTCTAGTAGCTAGCAAAATAATTCCAGAATCACTTCATATCATGGATATGAATAATGTAGAATAATCAATAATCTCAGTTGTCCACTAGTGCTGATTTAATCTTATTTCTTGGCTTCTAATGCAAAATTTCCATCTTTTATAGAATTACCAATTCGCAGAGTGCTGTACACATACACACATAACCAGCTCAAAGCTATGTTCTCAGTAGTGTCCACCTTACCTGGCTAATGTCCAACATTGGAAGAGCAGGCAAAAATATGCAATATTAGTATATTTACAGACAGATTGTTACCATTTTACCTCAATTTTGAAATACAGGTTGTTAATTCTATGTTAAAACCACAATTCACTAAAGGTCCAAAGTTGAGCTGGTTTTAACATTAGTGATCAAAGCCTAATATGTATACGCAAATGCATGCATTCAATACACATGTGAACACACCACAGTTTTCTAAGATATTATTGAACCTTTTACAAAATGTTAATTTAGTTGTGATTTTACAGAAATAGTTCTAATATAATATTACTACCTGTGTGTTCATTTGATCTAACGGTACACCTTTACAAAGAGTCTGAAGGCTATTCTACATCATCCAGCTGTGAAACAGCTTTATGATGCCAAGTGTCCCATACAGAGGTTTACTCCAATGAACTGGTTTAATTTAGAATGTAATCTAACCAATTATATTTAATAACATGGCTAGGAAAATCAGCCATCAGTGTCTCTGGGAAAAAATAAAGTAGACTTCTGGTTTTGCATAGAATATCGTGATTCCTATTTCCATTGCTCTTTTTACATTTATAACAAATGAATAAGCTGAATGTGATTTTTCATTTTGTAGCCACAATCTCTGTAGACAAACTGATCAACTGAAATACTTACATTGATTTGGTCAATATATTTATCAATGAATAATGATTTAGGAAGTTATTTTCATGAGTTGGACAATTGTGCACCTGGATTCATTTACAAACTATTGTCTTTTTCTAAATGTTAGAGATGTTTGATGTGAGGAAGAAAAACTTAAGGAGGGAGACCGACATAATGGAAATTGCATTTTTCTCTACAGCATAATTCAGGAATACATTAGATTAGAGGCCAAAGTGATGATTTGGAAGGAACTAAAAACACTGATATTTGATAGAGACCTGGTGAACTAGGGAAGCAATTCTAAATAGATTATTTTGGATGTGGAACAGATATTTCCAGTCATCATTGGAGTTTTTAGTCCTTGACAGTGATTTAAGGTCTTCGGAATGCTAAGCAATGTTACAATACCTGCACATACAACACAGTCATATGCTCTGCCACCAGTAGCTGCTCTCAGTGTTGCAGGACTTGTCCTTAGTTCAGCTAAAGACTAGCTCCTTGTCTGTCCCATGGCCACGAAAATTTAGGCTCCCAGATAGTTTGAACGGTGAGCAAAGCAGGGTTTTATTGAGTGAAAAGGGAAAAAGGGAGAATGGGGAATCTCCGCAAGGCCAGAGTTCCTGCCGGTGCACTTACCACCTCATGCTGTTTGAATCCCAGTTTCCACACAGGGAGAGGTGGGGCCAGGCTCCTCACTGCTGCAAAGGGCGCAAATTCCTATGTCTCCACCCCAGTGTGCAGGCTGGTTGGTGTTTTCCTGGGGGGCCCCTTCCCACCTGGCTGTCTCATTCGCCCCTCTAAAGAAGTACATCTAACTCCTGTTAGAATAAGGAAAAGGATAAGGATGAAAACCGACCTTAACTGCTTCCTGCTGACCGGGGCGTTGTTTTGGAGAAAAGGCTATCAGATCTCCCTCAGAGGCCTAAGGCTTCCCAGCAGAAGGGGCCATCATCAGAGGCTCTGTTTGCATGACCCTTTGGAGTTCGATGGCCTGAAGGCAAGACAAACTGGGTTATTAGAAAACATGTATCAAAACGAAACAAGGGGAAGGGTAGGGATAGCTCAAAAATTCTAAGGCCTTTTACCAGTTTGCATGGGGACAGGAAGGCCAAAAGCCCGTCTGGTAAAAAATTTTACCCTTTTCTGGCATGTTGGGCTTCTGGGTTCCCCTCCCCTGAGCCCAACCCCAAGCCAACCAGTTTAAAGTTTGGGAAATTAACTCTTTCCAGTTTGGAGGATGCATCTGAGGGAAGTGCTCCATAGTACAGGGACACAATTACCTATTAGTGAAGAGAGGACAGAGGAGGAGAGAAGAAAAAATAAGATACTTTTTTTTTTTCAAAGGAGTCCCAGGGGTTCAGGATGCATTCGAAAGGGGTACAGACTGAAGATGAATGGCTACCCATCTAGAAAGTACGGTATGGTGGTGTGTGCCTGTAATCCCAGCTACTCGGGAGGGTGAGTCAGGAAAATCACGTGAACCCGGGAGGCGGAGGTTGCAGTGAGCCAAGATTGCGCCATTGTACTCCAGCCTGGCCAACAGTGCGAGACTCCTCCTCAAAAAAGAAAAAAGGAAACATGTATCAAAACGAAACAAGGGGAAGGGTAACAACAGCTCAAAACTTATAAGGCCCTTTTACCAGTTTGCATGGGGACGGGGAGACCAAATTCCCAGCTGGTAAAATACTTCACCCATTTGCCAGTATGTTGGGCTTCTCGGTTCCCCCTCCCCTGAGCCTAACCCCAAGCCAACCAGTTTAAAGTTTGGGAAATTAACTCTTTCCAGTTTGGAGGATGCATCTGAGGGAAGTGCTCCATAGTACAGGGACACAATTACCTATTAGTGAAGAGAGGACAGAGGAGGAGAGAAGAAAAAATAAGATACTTTTTTTTTTCAAAGGAGTCCCAGGGGTTCAGGATGCATTCGAAAGGGGTACAGACTGAAGATGAATGGCTACCCATCTAGAAAGAGGGGAGCAGGCATCCCTGGTTCCCTTCTCTGCCTGACAGATACCCGAGGTACGTGAGAGAGACAGGGAAGAGAGTCCTCTTTGCCTCTTCTGTCCTTGCATCCCCAAGTCCTGTCAACCTTGGCAGATGTGGCCATGAGTGTAAAAGCGGCTTGCACCCATGAAGCAGGGGGTCGAACGGGTGGGAATCATCTGCTCCTTCCCACGTATGCCCTATCTTCCCTGCTATCGGTAGCCTTGAATTCTCTAGACCTCATTTATGCCATGGATACTAATGTGGCCTTTATCCATGAAACAGGAAGCTTGGGCTTGGCTTAATCGGCAGGAATCAGCCACACTCACGTGCACTGTGCCTTTTAACCTCCGTTGTCGTCTGCCTCTGGATCCCTTAGATCCAGTTTTCTTTCCTAGGGCTTTGACTCAAAGCTTGGAATTAGTTTGGGACAAAAATGTATCTCATGGGGGTGTTGCATGGACTCCTTATCATAAGCTGAATGCTAAGGTGAAACTGTGGAACTGAGTCCTCCTCCAACAAGGGAGAGAGAAAAGGATGTCCTGTGACACACCCAAACACCTGGTGGCTATAGTTATGCTTGCTAGGATTTGGGTGCATGGTGTTTGTCTTTGGTTAGCTGGCTTGTTCTTACTTTCCCAAAAGGAAACCTCCGAGTAATGAGCATCCTATTGATTCCAATCCCCTGGCAGGATTTGCAGGATAATTGCTCAGAATTAGAATATTGATCCAGATTTTTACATTATCCATCCCTCTTGTTCTTTCTGAGCTGGAGCCAGAGATTGCTGGTTGGTTCACAGGAACAAGCAGGGTTAGTCTAAAAGGTAAGTGAAAACTTAAAAACAACTAGTGCATTTAGAATTTAATGACAAATGTATGATAAGTTTTGGAACATAATTTCTCTCTCTCCAGTCCTCATGTTTGTTAAAAAAACAAATCATCATAGGACTGGCGGTTTTTGAAACAGACCTTAGTCTTATACTTGGCCTGATTATTTGCATAAAGTGCAGCAAGAATGATTCTTTCTACATAGGTCTTTTGGACTGGCTTTGATGGAGCTCTATTCCCCAAGGGATCTCAGGTAAGACCTTTTAAAGCTGAGCCCAGCCATGGGTTTAATCTCAAATACCTGTGAGTTGGGCGATCCTTGTCTCTTAAGGTCCCAAGATAAACTTAGAGGTCCTGGATCTGGTATATAATTGCTCACAGTAGTCTCTTGTAATCCTTTTATTTCCATGGCGTCAGTTGTAACACCATCTCATCGTTTTCTGATTTTATTTATTTGTATCTTGTGTCTTTTTTTTTTACTTAGTCTAAAGGTTTGCCAATTTTCTTGATCTTTTAAAAACACCAAATCTTTTTTCATTTATTTTTTCTATTGTTTTTATTCTCTATTTTATGTATTCCTGGTCTAATCTTTGTTCTTTCCTTCTTTCTGTTAACTTTGGGCTTAGTTTGTCCTTTTTCTAATCCCTTTAGGTATAGACTGAGATTGTTTATTTGAGATATTTCTTCAGTTTTAATGCAGGCATGTATTGTTATCAACTTATCTCTGTTAACTCAAGTTTATCCTAAAGCTGCCTCCTTATATATTTTAAGTTCAGCCTAAAGGTTTCTCTGTACATTGTGAAGTATAACCAAAATGGAGTTGTATACAGACCATAGCCTACTTTGGTGCCGATCACCAAGCTTTAGCCAATCAATTGAATCATGTTGAAACAAGGCAAACTATGAGCTGTAACCAATCTGACTGTTTCTGTACCTCACTTTGGTTTTCTGTACGTCAGTTTCCTTTCCGTATCCATAAATCTTCTTCTTCCACCTGACTGTGCTAGAATCTCTGAGCCTACTCTGGCTCAGGAGACTGCCCAATTCGTGAACCACTCTTTGCTCTGTTGAACTCTTTTGAATTTAATTCAGCTATATTTTTTTCTTTTAGCATCTTTTAGTATTACTTTAGCTGTACCCCATAAGTTTTGGTATGTTGTGTTTTCTTTTTTATAATCATTTGTATGAAATATCTTTTCTCCATCCTTTCACTTTCAGCCTGTGTGTGTCTTTAAATATAAAGTAGATCTCTTGTAGAATGCATATAACTGAATCTTGTTTTGTTCAAACATTTTTAATTTATTAACGTATTTTATAGTTGTAGTTATTTTTATACTTCTGTCTTCTAACTTCCATACAAAAATTAAAAGTGATTTGTGCACCACCAATACAGTATTACAGTATTCTGTATTTATGTATAGTCACCTGTACCAGACAGCTTTATACTTTTATATGCTTTCATTTTGCTGCTTGGCATTTTTCATTTCAACTTTAATGACTCCATTTAGCATTTCTTGTAAGGCAGGTGTGGTGGGGATGAACTCTCTCCACTTTTATTTTGTTTATTTTGGAACGTCTTTAGCTCTCCTTCATTTTTAAAGAAATGTTTTGCTAAGTATAGTATTTTGGTCAGCAAGTTTTTTTTTTTTTTTTTTTTTTTTTTCCCATTCAGCACTTTGTACATATATCATCCCACTCCTGGTCAGCAAGGTTTCTACTGAAAAATCCTCTGAGTCTTACTGAGGTTCTCTTGTGTGGCACAAATTGCTTTTCTCTTGCTTTCAAAATTCTCTGTGTTTGACTTTGACAATTTAATTATAATGTATCTTACATGGATTTCTTTGGATTCATCTTTTTTGAGCTCCATTGGCTTCTAGAATCTGGATGTCTTTTTTCTTCCCCAGATTTGGGAAGTTTGGGGCCATTAATTTTTAAAGAAACTGTTTTTCCTTTTCTTTTTCTCTTTTCCCTCTGCAACTTCCATAATGCATACAGTGGTCTGTTTGATAGTGTCCCATAAGACCCTTAGATTTTGTTCATTCTTTTTCATACATTTTTCTTTTTGTTCCTTATTGCATAATTTCAGATTACATATTTTTGAGTGTACTGATTCTTTTTTCTCCCTGATCAAGTCAGCTGTTGAGCCCTTCCAGTGATTTCTTTTATCACTGTAGTTATTGCATCTTTAAGCTTCAAAAATTTCTGCTTTGTTCTTTTTTTAAAAAAATTTATCTCTATTTTGAAATTGTCATTCTGTTCATGCATCATTTTTCTACACTCATTAAAAATCTTCATGACAGGTATTTTTAACTCATTTTTAGGTAATTCATATCTCTTTGTTTCTTTAAGTTCAATTTCTGGAGTTTTATTTTATTTTCCCCACTGGGCCATTTTCCCCTGTGTCTTGTAATTTTTGTGATTTTGTGTTGGTATCTGGGTATTTGAAAAATCAGCCACCTCTCCCAGTCTCTAAGGATTAGCTTTATACATGGAAAGATCTTAACCTATAAGCCTGGCTAGAGATTCTGGGGGCCTCTCAAGTCTTTTCTGTGAATGTGTCTTCTCTAGACATGTGTGCAGATTCCTAATTAGAGGGATTTGCCAGTTTCTTGTTTTAAGGAGCTTGTAATCTCTTGCTCCTTCTGTGTCTTTTTGTTTCACCATGGGTCATCTGAAGCAGAAACATGACCATACAGTCTAGCCCTTTTTTTACTTGCAGTGGAACCCCAGGTATCTAAAGTATGCTGGGTTCTGTCAGCTCCCCACATCAAGATAGACAGAAACCAGTACCTCAGGCAGCTCCATGAAAAGCCAGATGTTGAACACATGCTCTACTCTTCTATTTCTCCCTGAATAAGAAACTGCCAAACTCTATTGACCTCTGTCTGCCGTACCATGATTCCTGGGTAGCAGCAGCGTGATGCACAGCTCTTTTTTGTTGTCACGGTCCCCCAGGTATCTAGAATGTGCTTGCCCCTGTTAGTGCTCCCAGACAGGTGGGCAAAAGCCAGTTCCTCATCCAGCCCCCTGGAAAGTAAAAACATTGGAAGTACAGTCCAGTCTTTTATTTCCTTCCCCAGGGAGAAGCCAGAAACTAGAAGCTGGGAGTTTTCTCTCAAGCATATGGCACTCTATTGGGGGAGAGATTATAGCATGAGTGCCATGAATTTTCATATAGGCCTGGAGTGCCTTTGCACTTCTCTGGAGTGCAGGAGCCCCTTAACTGGTTTCTGGATTTCTCACAGAGGGAGTTGTTCCATGTTTTATTGCCAAATCTGTCTCCATGGCGGGAAGGAGGATCTAATGCTTCCCATTCTGCTACTTTATGATGTCACTCTCTGTATCTTGGGCTTTTTTAATAGGAGAGAGAAATAAACTTCTATTGTGCTTACAATTTTTTTCTATTTTTATTTTTGATGCAACTAAAGCTAATCCTAATGGATACAAAGAGATCCCTGGTTTGAGTGGTAGATAATATTAGATGATACTTTAAAGCTTTACAAATCTAGGAGTACATAAATCTAAGGTTCAGTGCATTTTTCTTCTCCCAAATATTTTATGAAAAAGAGGAACTTTAAAATAATAATGAGAATATATACAAATATAATTCCCAGGAAAGAAAATCCTCCTCTTTATTTTTGGTTTTATGGACAGGAAAATAATGGGCCTCATGCTGTTTTGGCTAATTGGGAAAAACAGAGGAGATGTCTGGATAGTAACCTGTTAGCTAGCCTCACACTCCACATCTCTTTTTTTTGGGTTGTATACTTAGCCTGCATCAGAAACCAGAGTCAGCTTGTATTAAATAAATGGTCTCACTTTATTTATATTTAATCATTTGGGAAATGAAATAAAACCATTAGAGGAAATAATAGACCTCAGTTTTAAAAATAAATATTGGTACAAAATAAATCTCTTTACTTTTCCATGACATTTTTCTGGAAGCAGGAGCCTATTACACTGTTATGATGTTCTATTTCATTGACTTATCTCCAGGTTCCCTTTTTTAAAAGACTAGATCTTTTGAATGCCTTTACATTCACCATTTATATGTACTTACCTACTTACCACTTCTGCATCACTAGTACTCTATCTGAATTCAAATTTTGTATGTCTCATGCAAAACTCAAAATCCAACTGTGCAGTTTCTTGGCCAAGAAAGGAGGGGGGGAGTGTTGAAAGTCACTAACTAAATAAAAACCAATTTTACTGAGTAGTGGTGGCCTGGAGATTGAGTTATGTGGAGGTTCTAATTGTGAATTTCAAGTAAATATGAGTAAGCCACCCATTTGGATGGCACACAGAAATATACTATTAATAATTTTCTGGAACATCTTAATTGAAAGAGAAAATAAAATTAGAAGCTGAAGACACTCATTTTATTTCTCAACTAAGTTTGGTTTGTATACCTTCTAGCCAAAAATAAAGCAAATTTCTTGTTCAGTCTTTCCAGAAGGAGCTCTAATAACTAAATATCCAAGGACATCTTGCAGAGGTTTTTTCCCCCAAAGTTGTGAGAGCTTGGTAAAGATCAACTGTGGGAAACTTCTATGGAACTTAAAAGATTGAAAACAACTAAGAGTCCCCCCTCAGATGTTTTCTGCTTATCCTCTCTTTGCAGATCTGCTCACCCACATAGCTTTCTGTCACATGTTTTTACTTTCCTGTTTACTCTTTCTGCTGCAGAACCAGATAGCCTTGAAAAGATTAACTTTATTCTGTCTCATGCATCAGCAACACAATTTGTCAACTTGAATCTTTATTACTGGTGATCACATAAAAGCTGAAAAACACAAGATGATTTCTTTTCTCACCTTAGAAGTTGAATTTGTCACCCTAAAAAAAATCGCTAGGCTTGTAAATGGAACACATTTTATTTAGGAATCATTGAGAAAGAATAAGCAAAACAAACAAACAAACCAAAAACCTATGACTCTTTTCTAAGGAGAACCAACTTAGAAAAAGAGGAAGATGCAAGAGGTTAGGCGATAAGCAGGCAGTGATAATCCACTTCTCAAAGCAACTACATACAGAATAATAATGATTTTGGACAAATGTTAACATTTATTCAGAGCTAGACATCAAGTTAATCCCTTTATAGGCATTATCCTAACCAACCTTCGAGAAAGATTCCATTGTCTTTACCAATTTACAGATGAGAGAACCAAGGCTTAGGAAGGTTAAATAACGCTGAATTATTCCAGGTCTCCTTCTTTTGCAAGTGACAGACCCCCATTTAAGTAAAAGAAGGAATGTACTGGGTTCCATAATTGAATAGTCTTTCAGGGAAGGCCAGATGCAGGCATTTTAATAATGTCATTGGGTCACACTTTTTGTCATACTTTTTTCCTTTTTTATTATAATTTTTGTTTTATTGGTTTATTATTTTTTCTTTTTTATTCTAAGACATCTTGTTATAGCATGTCATACTTTTTTTATTACTCAGTTCTGCTTTCCTCTGTGTGGTTTAATCCTCAGCATGCTTTCACCTTGCAGTCATAAGAGAGCCAGCAGTAGCTGTAGGTTTAATCCTTCTACATTAGGAATCTTAGCTTTCCCAATGGTTTTAGCCAAGAAAGCTCAGGATTGCTTCTCCTTGGGCAGACCTGGGATATATGCTCCCCCTTGGGGACATGGAAATGGTATAGTTTCTTTTAAATCACATGTTCCAGAAACAGGGAATGGTGGTTTCTCAAAATAAACTCAAGATGTTGCTGATAGTAGAAGGCAATGAATGCTGGGTGGTCAAGCTTCCTCATTCTGAAGTTCAGCTACATGCCTTTCTCTGTACTATCCCTATATTAACCAATTTCCAAAGCTCACCTCTATCAACCTTCTTTAATCAGTTGTACTGAATTTTTAATCTTCGGGACATATTGTTAACAGTTTATTGCCTTATTGTTTCTCTTTTTACATCATGAGACTGTAAAGCCACACTCAAGTTTTAAAACTGAATTAGCTATTTTCCTTCATCTTTATGCCCCATAAAGTGGAATAGATATTCCACTGCATATATTCTTTGGCACGGTGGATAGTACCTTTGTTGGCCCAATTGTCCAGAGCAGAAACCAGCCATAATCTTTGACTTTTATCCTCCTTTACTCCCACATCCAGTTGCTCATAAAACCCTGTAAACCTGCTCGCTTCAGATCTCTTGACTTCTTCCAAGTCTCGCCACCCTTCCTGTTATTGCCCTAGTACAGATTTCCTCGTTTCTTGATTATTCTACTTACTGCTCTGACATATCGTCCTCCTTTCAAATACGTTCTCTAATTTTCAAGAAAACTCATCATTCTAAAGCACAGATATGATCCCACGACTCTCCTCTTCAGAACCTTTCAGGGATTGCCTGTTGTATGATTTCCATGGACCTTGGTTTCCTTATTGTTAAAGGAAAGGCATAAAGAGATGATCTCTTGGAGATGACTTCCAGCTCCATGATTCTGTTAATCCTTGCCAGCCCAAAGTAGTTAGCTCTGTTTAATCATTTGGTAATTGGTTTGTCTACCTTTTGGATTATGGACTGAGACCCTGTGTTTTTCTGGTTATCGCCCCTTACTGTATCTCATGAGAATGCTGGGTCAAGTCCTGTTAAGCAGTCATCTCAGATTGAGAACAGCTGGCTAAGTGCGACCATGGCCGTTCCAGAGTCAAAATCAATATGAATTATTTGGAAGATATCTGCTCTTTTAACTACCACCTCTTGCATTCATGCAGATGTCTAAAAATTGTATACGAGAATTACTTCTACCATATGTTTTTGACATTGGAACTTCTTAAGATAAGGAGAACTGTGAATGTACAAGTGAAAAATGTTAGTGTACCATAAGACAAAAAGCAGATGTGTTAATGCATTATCAACACTAAGCTATTATTAGGTTATTTAATAGCCATTGAACTATACCACCATAGGAATTTATAATCACTCTTTTCCTCCTACCCTTCTGACTGCTGGCGAAAACCTTAGAAATGACCACATGTAGGAAGCTGTTAAACATTTCCAGTTAAATAATTTACTCTACCTAAAGGAACACCTATATCCCCACTTGCCAATTTAATGTATCTTACACAGATGCATTAGTTTACAAGGGAGGAATACTTGTTTTAGCAGTGTCCCATACAGCAATGTTTTATTATATTTCATTCAAATCACTCATCCATACACACACATTGTAATACCAAAAGGTATAATTGACCTATACTTTCTTCACATCCAATAAGCTGGGGTGTGCACCATTGCTTGTTCTTGGCCAATGTGACCCAATCAAACTCGGCTGCCCCTCCTTCAGATGGAGTGGCAAGTACCACTTTGCTTGCTCATTTCAGGTGGCTTTTAATTCTGGGATTACACGTGTATTGGCAATCATGATTAGCCTATAATGGCTAACAAAGTACTATAAATTGATAAAACTGGAAGTAGAAGGAAAAAAGACAATAAAGAGAATAAAATCCTATGTTAGAATGCACATTTTTGTGGCTGCTTGTGGCAGAGGTGTATAATCAAGCAACTGGTCAGGAAAGCAGACAGCAAAACTCAGCCATGGATTGATAGAAAATTTTGACATTATGAAGAGCATCACAGACATCAATAAGTATCTACTGAGTATATATCATGTGTCAGGCATTGATCTAGATGCTGAGGATACAAGAGGAAACAACACAGACAAAATTTCCTGTTCTTATGGGGATTAAATTTTAGTGGAGAGAGATAGATGGGAAACAAAATAAGTAAGTAAAATATATAGTTGTTAGATACTAATGATTGGCAGAAGGGCAGTAACTTTAAAATAATAAGTTGGAGAAAACCTCATTGAGAGAGTGGTGAAAAGGCAAGCCATGAGGTAATTTTTTGAAGAGTATTCCAAGGAGAGAAAACTGCAAAGGAAAGAGCAGAATTAGGGAAAAGTTTCCAATTATGTTGTTAATCTAATAAAATAGGGATGAGTCTCCACAGAGGATATGCTATAAGGAATGAACAAAGCACTATTCAGTTATCTCAAGCATTTCTAGGATGCACCCTTTGAGCAAAACTTTGGAAAACCTTTTGAAAGCATTTCTAAGATGCATTATCCCATAAAATGTATTAAACCTTAATTGGTAAGGTTTGACAGTTATACAATTACTGATTTTTTTCATATTCACCCATAGAGAGCAATAATTTGCATAAGAGAAACCCTGATTTTAATACTCTCTTTTCTGGATAGTGTTGCATAATTTTTATGCGATTTCCTTGATGAACCCAATAATACTCTCTTCCATCCATAGTTTTGCATAATCTGCATAATAAGGACATACTGAGAAGAACTGGGAACTGAGCAATTCAGCAAGATCACAGAAACATGTGTTGGGAGCTGCCTGTCAGCAAATGCTGCTAGAAATTCTGTGACTATCAGGACAAATCTTGCAGATAATGGTAAAATAAATGGCCTTGGCAAGATTTTGTATAGACTGCATATTTCTTGTGGGGTCATCACTACTTTTAAAGAATCCAACTGGAATTGTTATTTCAGAACACAATGTTTTGGGTGCCTGCATACTTCTCTGTCTTCCAGAGTTCTCTAAAATATTTATCTTCCTAACTGCTCATTGCCCTGTTGAGTGTAGACTGTTGATTAGAGGGGACTTCCAGAGCATTGGATTATGGGAAGCTAGCAGGACATTCCAGTTACCTTGCTCCATAACACATTATCCTAAAACTTCGAGGCTTATAACAACTATATTTTTGTTTGTAATTTTTTGGGTCAGGAATTCTGGAAGGGTCTGGGATGGCGGTAATCTGAAGGCTTGACTGGGGTGGATATTTCTAAAGTGGTTCACTCACATAGCTGTCAGTTGATGCTGTCCTCGGGTTGTCAATCCAAGCACTTCCAGGTGACCTCTTCATGTTGTCTGGGCTTCCTCCCGATAAGGCAGCTTCAGGGTAGTCAGATTCTTACAAGGCAGCCCAAGGTGCCAAATGTGAGTGCTGCAACATTTAAGATGGAAGCTGCATTACTTTTTGTAATTTAGCCTTGGATGCCATACAGTGTTATTTCCATCACATTCTATTTGTTACAAATGAAGTATCAGCCCACCCAGAATTCAGAAGAGGTTACATGTACCTGCCTCCTGATGAGAGGAATGTCAAGGTCACATGGATTGTAGAGGAACATGTGGCATAGGAGATATTGTCGTGGCCATATTTGAAAAATATAAGCACAGGGTTAGTTAGCAAAAGTAGAATGTGTGAAGGCCCTGAATTCAAGGTAAAGTATAGAGGTCACCATATCTTGTAGAGAAACAGACAAGAGCAAAAACTGCAGAATGTTTACATTCTTGTGCTCACAAGAGGAAAAGGGTCCAAGAATATAGGAGGAGATTAGACATGTCAGGCTAAGGTTTCAAAAAAGGCCTCACTCTGTGTTCTATACTTTAGGGTACCTTAAGTCTCTCATGGCACTCTCATGGTAATTCATTCATTATTTCATAAACTTTCAGTAAATATCTACTACAGGGAGTAGTGGTAGTAGTAGCAATAGCAGTAGCAGTAGTAGTGGTAGAATAGAGACTATTCTAGGATCTTGCATATCAGTAAATAAATGCAAGAAAAAGCCCTACCCTCATGGAGAGTATATTCTAGTGGAGTAGTGATATTAAAATAAATAACACTGCATGCAAATTAAGTATAGGACAATTAGAGGTGGGGTTTCAAAGAACCCTAACGCTTCACCCTACCCTGTATCCATACCCTTTGTCATGCAAATTTGAAGTTCAACAAAAACACCTTATATTTCCTCATGTGATTTGCCAATAGACTAAGGCAGAAAAGAGTGTGTGGTCCTGAGACTAGACCCTCAGAAGTCTTGCATGTCTCTGCTTTTGCTTTAGCCCCTCTGCCATTGCCGTGCAAGCATGCTGGGGTTGGCCAGCTAAAAGAGAAGAGACATATGGGCCAGAGGCCAGTCACCTCAGTCTCCCCAAGCAAGACCCAACCAACCTCCAGACACCTGAATGAGCCCAGCCAAGATCCTAGATGCATAAACATTAAATTTACTGCCATATGCTATTAGATTTTGTGATTGCTTTTCATACAGCATTTTGGGGCAATAGACAGATGACACAACTGGGAAAAAGTGGAAGAGCTCGTTTTCTTGGAGACGTGTTTACACACAGTTCTATTTTGAAGCCAGTTAGCAGATCCCTGTTGTTGTTGCTGGTGCTACCTCTAGGCTGGAGTGTTTCGAAGAATAATCAGAGTCAGAATTAATAGAGTTGCCTCTAGATTCATGACAAGGGTGAGTGAGGTGTGGAGGAATGAAGTGGAATAAGGCTTCATTTCTGCTGGTAAAGGCTTTATTTTATGTTTCCTTGTCTGAGGGGACAAAAATCACCTCTAATGTCTGTTATGGTTGAGGGATGAGGAAGGAAGTCTCAAGGAGAAACTCAACATTCCTGTTGCTTCTTTGATGCCTTTTCCTCCTTTAACATATCAAGCTCCCTGCCTAAAAGTGGACTTTTATCATTATTATTATTATTAAAAATAAACCTGTTTTGGCAGCATCAAAGGGGGACGATGGCCATACTGTCCTTGAACTATGTGGATGTGTCAGTCCTGGCAATCATGTTGGCAAACTAAGGTTCTTTCCCAGACTACATCAAGTAAGGGTGGAGGGGCAGGGTATTTAATATCTGCTTCCCAATCATGGTGACATTTAACACTTCTGAGGAAAAAAAAATGCCTCCAAACTGGCCTTTCAAGTAAGTGGAGTAGTTACTCTCCCCACAAAGTATCAGAAACTGTTCTATGAGCCACTTACTCCTTTATGTCTTGCACAGTCCCTATCAAAAGTCAAATACTCCTGGGAGACGTGACCTCTTTAGTCTTCAAGAGTCAACACTTTGGGAAAGGCAGAATTATTTCAAACAGCTGAGCACAAGAAAGGCAACTAGCTTGTGTAATTGTTCATTTTCTGTTTTTTCCTACTGAATTGTAAGCTACAAGGGGTCTAGGACCATGTCTATCTTATTCATCCATCTATTTCCAGGTTTCAGGACACATAGGAGACCCTCCACAACGCCCTTGGGAAAAAAGCAGAAGAGGACAAACATGGGAAAAGAAGGGACGGAAGGGGGAGATAAAAAGCCTAATTAAATTCTCACAGAGCGTTTATCCTAATATTAACTAGTTAATGACCTCAAGATATGTATTGAGCTTTTACTATGCACGCATGGCAGGAGGGGCGTGCCCCTTCCTTGCCTTAACCTGGTGTGGTTCTTTGACTTTTTACTCCTGTATACTCGAAGAAAACAATACAAAAATCAAAGCTGGGAAAAAAGTTCCTGTATGGGGTATTTCACCGTTTTAATGCATTAAACATGATGTGCTCAAATGCCCCAGCCTTTGGGATTGAAACATTCATAATGAGAACTCCGAAGCGACCAAGATGAAATACAAACTTCAAAGAAGGCGCCCAGTTTTGTCTTGCTACTCTAGCCTAGTTCAGTGGCGCCTCAAACTTTAATGTGCATGCGAATCACCTGGCAATCTTGCTGAATATTCAGATTTGGAGTCAATAGGTCTGGAGTGAAGCCTGAGATGCTGCGTTTTTAACATGCCCCCGGGTGATGCTGATGCTTCTAACCCAAGGACCACACTTTGAGTATACAAGGGACCGGAGACCATCACCTCTACCGCCAGGTGTGTGTATGCTGAGTCCCAGCGTCCCAGATCAGTGTCCCGCAGGTCCCAGGCCTTCCGTCAGGAGGGGAGGAGCCGGGGGCGGAGCGGGAGGAGTGGCGCGGGTCCCCCGTGGGTCCTGCCAGAGATCACCTCGGCCCCTTGGAGAGGCAGCCAAGCTGCGGCGGCGCAGGAGGGGGCGGGTTCGGCGAGGGCGCGGCCTCAGAGGGGGGGCGCACGACACGCATCCCCCGCGATCGCCCGGGCCACTCGGGAGCCTCGCAGCAACCCGGCGCCCCACTTGGCCATCCGCTCCTTGCCCGCCTCCTCTTGTCACCTCCCGTCTCATCCTTCTCGCTCCTTCCCCGCCGCATACACCGCCATCCGAGTGCCTCAGAGAGCCGGAGGTGGTGTGCGGGGCTGCAGGGCACAACTTCAAGCGGTCCTCAGCTCCGCACTAGGGGGCACGGGCAACAGCATGGACACCAAGCGCTGCTTCGCCAATCGCTTCGATGACTACCAGGGCAGCCTGCTGGCGGGCCAGTGCGAGGAGGCGGTGGCGTCCTTGGTCACCGCCACCATCCAGCGCATCCTCCAGGAGCTTCCCCCACTCGGGGCGGCGCCGAGGCCTGAGGGGCGACGGCCAGGGCTAGCGGCTGCCAGGGGGGGTTTATGGCGACGTGGCCGGAGTGGCGTATATGCTCTACCACGTCTCGCAGAGCCCGCTTTTCGCCACGGCCCGGGAACGCTACCTGCGCTCAGCTATGCGCCTCATGGACGCGTGCGCCCGCGCTGAGGAGTGGGGCGAACCGGACGCCGACACCCGCGCCGCCTTCCTGCTCGGGGGCGCGGGCGTGTACGCCGTGGCCACGCTCGTATACCACGCCCTGGGCCGGTCCGACTACGTGCAGCCGCTGGGCAAGTTCCGGGCTCTGTGTGCCGTCTGCGCGCCGGTCTCCTTCCTGGAGTGCGGCTCCGACGAGCTGTCTGTGGGCCGCGCGGGTTACCTGTGTGCCGCGCTGGTGCTCAAGCAGAAACTCGTCCAGGAGGTAAGAGGTAGCCCGGGCCGCGGGAGGGCGCTCGCCGCCTGCCCGGCCTCCCTTCCGGACTCCGTGGCTCGGGCAGCACTGTGCGGTTGCTCTCCATGTTTTTGTTACTCTTGTTGTGGTGCTAGCATTTCTTCAGTCTCTTGAGGTCTGTCTCTTGCTTTTGTCCGTCTTCTTTCCTTTTTCAGTCTCTCATTAGTTGAGATTCGGCGTCTCTGCGCTTCGTTCCTGTTTTTACTCTGAACGTGGCATCACCCCGGATGCCTGTTAGCTTTCTGGGGGATAACAGTGTGGCCCTTTCAAGTAAGATGAAAACTTCAGAAATGGAAGGGATTTCCTTTCCTTTGACTCTGCTGTCAAAAGCTGAGGCACCCTCGAATGTTAAGAGTGCTAGAAAGTAATGGAACTTTTCGGGGCCGATGTGGAGGTAAGTTGCTTCTGGAGTCCTGGGTCTGTAACCAAAAATAACTGCTCAGCTGTGGGTCTGATGTGTTTACTGTCTTGCTTACTATTCAGTTCAACCCATGGCTCTTATTAAATGCATATCTGATAGGAGTGTCCCCTTTAAAAATACATAAATGTAGACGGAAACGTACCCGGAAATGTACCCCATTGTAGTTGAATGTGCATTATTTCACTTAAACATATTTGCTTAGGATGGGCAAGACCACAGCTTTCTTGACAGGGCAGCTTTTCTTGATGAATAACTTTACAGTGGCTCCTAAAAGTGAATTGGTTTTCACATACATATTTTTTCCTGGACTCACTTTGAAATCAGCATGTGGTTATTAGAAGAGAATATGCCAGTTCCTGTGGAATAGGAAAAAGAACAAAACTCTGAAGGATCATAGTGACTAGAATGGAGAGAGAAGCACTTTCATTCATAATCCACTGGAGCCAACTACTGTTCTAGGGAGGAAGTGACACATTTAACTTGGCTTTATTTAGGTGAGAAAGGCGTTTGAAGAAAAATTAAAGGTATGTAGAGTGTTTTAAAAGAATAATTAACTTAGATAACCTCTGCAGAGGCAAGTGACCAAGGACACCATTGCCTCCTCACACTGGCCCGCCAGCAGGCTGCCTTGGTAGTCATCGAAGCACTTGGCGAAGCAGCGCTTGGTGTCCATGCTGTTACCCGTGCCCCCTAGTGCGGAGCTGAGGACCGCTTTTTTAATTTTTTTTATTTATAGCAGGTGAGGTTGATTCAAGTGAGAAAAAGATTACTAAAGAATGTGCACTGTGTTAGCTGGGCAGCAAAGGTTTATGTCACAAAGTTGTCTTGAAATAGTTTGCTCTGCTTCTGAGTCACTCTTACTGCCAGCAGTTTTTCAAATGCCATTCCAGTTGTAGAAAACCTTTTAGAAGGCCACAGAGATATTTACATATCATTTGCGTTGCATTCGTGTCTGCTCCCCTCACCTTGTAGTCTGGCAGCAGGAGGTTTTCAAAAATTTTTTTCCAATTGTTTTCCTTAATCTTGCCTCTTCCCTTTTCCATGCCTTGAGGCCTTTTCTCCAGAATGGAATGGGAAGAGTGTGTGACCACTACGTCACAGAGGTGGAAGCAGACCAGAAGGACTCTGCCCAAAAACTGGTGGTTCAGGCCAATCTGCAACACTGATCCACAAAGACATTTATTAAGACCTCTCTTCTGCCCTCCTGCCAAACCAGATCTATATTTTTTGTACTAATCAAGTTGAGGTGTTTTGGCCCCTGCTCCCAGGAGATGGAACAAGCTTCAAGAATAACAACAACAACAACAAAAACAACAGCCATCTCTTAACCTGAGCAAACCAGTTAGTTCCAGTGCCAGCTGCAGCTGTGGGAATTCAAGACTTTCTGGCTTGAAAAGTGTAGGGCAGGGGCTAAGCACGCCAGGCTGGAAGCCCTTTGAGGGGAAAGTACAAGTTTTATACACCATCCCCACCCCGCAAGTCATAGCCAGCACATGGCTTTGCCCTCAGTAGGTGATCCATAAACCTTGATTAGATTGAATTGCGAATTTGTGTCATTTCTCTATAAATAATCTGTCAGTATGTCCTGGGTTTCTTCCCCTCCGATGTCATTTATATTCACATTCCTCTGGCAATTCCCTCAGTTATCGCTCTAATTTAGATCCTCCCCACATTACTGGGCACATCTTTGCCACCTAATAAGTAGTTGAATGAATGAATCACCATATATTGGGATTGGTGCAATATACTTTGAGCTAGAATCTCCCACTCAAGCCGTTCCGTCTACCTCTAAGAAACAAGTATTTCAAAAGACACTTTTCATCATGTTATTTCCCTGCTCAACATACTGCAGTGGCTCCCTATTACTTTTTCTCCAGTGGCTTGTCATCTCACAGTTAAAGTTATGATTCTTAAAAATAGCTGAGAAGGCCCCACGTGATCTAGCCTCCTACACTCCTACACTCCTACTCTACTCTTTGCTCATTCTTCTTCAACCACACTGGCCATCTTCCTGTTTTAGTTACTTTCCTGCCTCAGTGTGTTTGTTCTTATAGTTATTTCTACTTGGAACACTCCCCCTAGATATTTATAGCTAGATCTCTGACCTTGTATAGGTATATATATATATATATATTTTTTTTTTTTTTTGAGATGGAGTTTCGCTCTTGTTGCCCAAGCTGGAGTGCAATGGCATGATCTTGGCTCACTGCAACCTCCGCCTCCCAGGTTTAAGCGATTCTCCTGCCTCAGCCTCCCAAGTAGCTGGGATCACAGGCGTGTGCCACCACGCCCAGCTAATCTTTTTTATTTTCGGTAGAGATGGGGTTTCACCATGTTGGCCAGGCTGCTCACGAACTCCTGACCTCAGGTGATCCACCCGCCTCAGCCTCCCAAAGTGCTGGGATTACAGGCATGAGCCACCGCACCTGATCTATATATATATATTTTTTGAGACAGGGTCTCACTCTGTCATCCAGGCTGGAGTGCAGTGGTGCAACCATGGCTCACTGTAGCCTCGACCTCCTGGGCTCAGGTGATCCTCCTACCTCAGCCTCCCAAGTAGGTGACACCACAGGCATGCGCCACCACACCCAGCTAATTTTTTGTATTTTTTGTAGAGACAGAGTTTCACCATGTTGCCTATGCTGTTCTGGAACTCCTGGGCTCAAGTGATCTGCCCGCCTCAGTCTCCTAAAGTTCTGGGATGACAGTCATGAGCCACTGTGCCTGGCCTTGTATAGGTCTTTACTTCCTCAATGAGGCTTTTCCTGACTACCCTATTTAAAATTGCAACCCCACCCTCAACTTACCCCCTTTCGTGATTTGTTTTACTTAAATTGTTTATTTATGTCTTCGCTGATTAGAATGTAAGCTCCATAAGGGTAGGCATTTTTGGTTTCATTGATGTTCATTGCCAAGACTGCCTGACACATTTTTAGATGCCCAGCTTTGTGTGTGTTTGCAAATATCACTCAATTTTAGTGGTGTCCCATTTATCAATATTTTCCTTTACGGTGGTAGTTTTGGTGTCATGTTTAAAGAAATCCTTTCCTACTGCCAAAGTTTCAGTAAATATTTGTTAAATGAATGAATGAATGAATTGTAGTTTCTTCCAATTATTTTTCATGGCTTAAGCTCAACCAATAAAGCAGTGCTTCTTAAACTTTAATGTGCTTAGGAATCACCCGCAGATCTTGTAGAGCTGCAAGTTCCTGGGTGATCCTGATGTTGCGGGTCCATAGAGCATGCTTTGAATAGCAAGGCAATACTGTGCTGCATAGGTTTTGGCATTATACCTGCCACCTCTATTAAGGCATACTATAAGACACCATTCTATGAAGCTTGATATGTTTATTTAAAAGGTCTATAGTTTAGAATGCTGATTACTATATCCTACCTTTCACTCTAAAGACCCACAAGAGGAATTGCTCTCAGATTGTAGAGACAGTAATAGTTGTGTGACTCCTGGCAATTGAATTTTAAAAATCTTCAAAATATGTCATGTAACTGATTCTGTTTCTCACTTTGTGTTGGCTACTAGGGAGTGTATGGCTAGAATTGTGGTCCATATAAGCTAGCGTACAGTACCTTAGCAGATCTATATTTATGTGTAGACATTTCCCCTGGGTTTATCTAATTTGTTTCTTCCTTAGTTTACCCTTTTCTAGGTTCTTTTCTTTTTATTTGATTTTGTTGTTTGTATTTATGTTTACAAGGTTCAGATATAAGAAAAAGATGTATGTGTATGTGGCAAGAGACAGAGAATCCCTCTCTCCAGGCATGTATTTTCACTTAACTTGGCCTTCCTGGAGTAGCTCCAAGGATTTCTTAGGCAGATATCCTTAAGCAATGGGGCATTGAAGTCTCAAGAAATCATGCCATAAAAACTTATATTGGGTCCATTCGGCTTTCCACTGACTGGGGGAAATGTAGCAGACAATGGCAGAGGGATTCGGGGGAGACCTAGGATCTCAGTTAAAATAATAATTCTGCCACTGAGTGATCTTGGACAGAGTCTTGTTCTTTCCCCCAGGCTGGAGTGCAGTGCGCACTATCTGGGCTCACTGCAAGCTCCGCCTCCCGGGTTCACGCCATTCTCCTGCCTCAGCCTCCCAAGTAGCTGGGACTACAGGCCCCTGCCACCGTGCCCGGCTAATTTTTTGTATTTTTAGTAGAAACGGGGTTTCATGGTGTTAGCCAGGCTGGTCTCGATCTCCTGACCTCGTGATCCACCCACCGCGGCCTCCCAAAGTGGGAAAAATATTTTAATATCGTTGAGCCTCAATTTCCTCACCTGTAAATTGATTAATAAGAGCTTCTTTGTTGACTTGTTCTGGTTTTCATTCATTCATTCAGTAAATGTCAGGTTTCTACACGGTGTGAGGCAACTTACTAGATTCTTGGGTTCAGTAGTGAACAAAAATATAACTCTGTTGGTGAAGAAAAAAAATAACATCAATCATTTTAGGTAAGTGCTCTTAAGGATGTAATCAGGAACTAACTGAGGACAGGTGGGAAAGGGGAGGGCTGCTGTTTGGTAGGAAAGCTTCTCTGTGGAGGCAGCGTCCTGGCTTATCACTAGAGCATGGGAACCAAGTGGCTGCTCTAAGAACAGGCATTCCAGGCAGAGGGCAAGAGCCCCTAAGGTAGGAAATGACTTGGATATTTCAAAGAAATAGAAGGAGGCTAGCATGGCTGGAGCAGAGAGAGAGCAGGGGATAGAGAAGTTTGAAACCATGGAAGGAGACATGAGCAGGGTAAAATTAGATCCTGGAGGCCCAAGTTAGTCAAAGTTAGGAGTCCGCATTTGTTTCGTGTTTAAAGGAGGAAAAATCTTGATCTGACTTACCTTTTAGAAAGATCGCCCTGGTTTTCTGTATTAAGAGTGGATTGACAATATTAAGAATGATAACAAGGGGGACTGGTTGTGGGGGGTTTAAACCCCTTTTGTGCCAAGGCCTCTTCTTAGAATAATATTTTTAAATGCATAAAATAAAACACACAGAATTACAAAGGAAGTCAATTATATTGCAACGCCGTTACCAAAACATTTTTAAAATGTGTGAGCAGTAGCGTATGTGCTCCTTTATCAACACATTAAATAAGATTTTACAGCAGGCTAAAGGATGATGATACTTTTGAAACAGTGATGAGAGTCAATGATATTTTGAGATACCCTCCACAGCTACACTGTGGTATGCATCTGTGATTTCTGTAGGTGACAAAGTCACAAGTACAACTAGTGGTTTGTAGTTTACATTTGTAACGAAATGCTAAATTGTTTAAGTAAGCTGGGAAACATGTAGATGTGATTTTATTTCCCCAGCCAAAGGAGACTGGTTTGGAAGTTGCTGTGATGACCAGTCCTAGACAAAGTACCTAGCACAGTGCTTGGCACATAGTAGCTGCTAAATGGAATCAATGGTAGCCTTTTTCGCTACTACTAACAGAAAACCTAAGGTAATTCTGAATATCAGATAGAAAATGATACTTAATATGACGTATCTATCTTCCTGCTGTGATTTGAAAACAACAACAACAACAAATTATTGCAAAGTTGTTAATTGGGTCTTTGGCTCATTTCTAAGGCAGGTGGTTGGCAGCTGTATAAGGGGCAATGCTTTTAGCTGTAAATAACAAAATGCCCAATAAAAAGTCATCTAAATAATGAGAACATTTATTACCTCACTTAGCAAGGAGTAGAAAACTAGGCCACTCCAGGATTGTTTCAGCAACTCAGGAGAGTTATCCAAATCCAAGCTCTTTCCAGGCGTTTTCTCTGCTATTCTCAGTGTTTGAGCTGTTTCACCTTTCAATGTTGTAAGATGGCTGCTGTAATTCATTGTTCCCCTAACTGAAGTACTAATCGTACACTAATCGTGTTCCCCTAACTGAAGTAGTGAGGGAAAGTCTGAGGCTTTTTTCCCCTGCATCTTTTTCTAATGTCATGTAGAACACTCTATCCTAGAAGAATTTCCCTCTGACTCATTGCCCAGCACTTGGTCATTAGTCAGTTCTAGTTTCAGGGAGGCTGGGAAGGCTAGTGTTTTTATTTTTAACCTCTATCATTGGACACAGGTTCTGATATGAAAAAAGGAAGAAGGAAATGGCTATTGGGTTGTTACCAAAGCATCTGCCCTTTGGCATCCCTTGGCAAGGTCTGTCTTGTGACCTCCTTTATCCATTCGCTTTTCCTTCCTTTGGTGTTTCTCTTCCCTTTTCCAGGTCACCTCCATGCGTCATGACACCTGTAAGGTATCTTGTTTTTGCTGTCAGCTAGCTGCCAATTAAATGAAAGCTAAGATATTAACTATTAATTAAGATTTAAACTAGTAAAGTTTGGGGAATATACTTTATGGCAGCAACTGCTTTTTTCCTAGTTTTTCTTAAAAATTATTTCTCTCACAAAGATCTAAAACAAAATGAGTCTTTAAATTGTTTATTTAAAATTTATTTTAAAAGTTAACTTTTTTCTTTTTTTAGAAGTCTATTCCATAAAATACCTATATTTTATCCACTTATACAAATTATCATATTATACATATATTATACAGCTTACTTTCTTGCTTAATGTACATTGGACATCTTTGCATATTGTATAGAGATGTAACATTCTTTATACTCATTCCATTTAATGGTTATACTATAATTTAACCCTTATTGATGGACATTTAGGTTGACTCATTTCTTCTTTTTTGCTATCACAAATAAATAGTGCCATAAATAATATACATGCATATACATATACAGTAGTCTCCCTGTATCTGCCAGGGATGTGTTCCAAGGCCCCCAGTGGATGCCTGAAACCGTGGATAGTAACAAACGCTATATATACTGCTTTTTCGATTTGATACCCAAGACGCCTAGAGACTCCTACTAAGTGACGAAGGGGCAGGTGGTTTACAGAGTAAAATGCGTACATGTAATATATATGTGTGTATACACACATATATATGTCTTTCTATATTTGTATTTTTGCCTGCTTTTGCAAGTATCTATGTAGGATAAATTTTTAAAACACAATTGATGGGTCAAAGTTTACATGTATTTTTTATTTGATAGAGGATTATCAAATTGCTCTCCAAAAATGTTCCATCAATTTCTATTCTCTCCACCAGCATTTGGGAGTGCCTGTGTTCTCACTGGGTTTCTTCAGAGTTTTTAATATATGCCAAACTGATGAGCAGAAAATTAGGATGGAGGTTTCCAGGATAGAAACTGAGTGTCCTTATTATTCCTTTCAACTTTTACCAAACAAAATGCATGTGTAGGATTTCATTCAATCTTTGGATTTGAGCGGTCCCCATTTTTCAGGCAGGTGTGTGTTGCATACTGCCTAAGTAAACCCTGAAGTTTGGCTTGAAATGGCAGCAGGATTGGGCAAGCTGGATTTTTGTAGGCTGGGTTCAATTCCTAATTGCCTGATTACAGATCTACCAGAAAGCAGGCACGTCTATGGGCTACAGCTTAGACCCTTTGTTATCCATGACCCAGAACCCAGTGAATGATAAAATGATGTAATACGAACTGACAATGATTGATCACTTATTTCCACACACTGTTGTAGGCATTTTTCATGTATTATGCCACTTTTCAAAATGTAGCTAAGTGTAATTTTGTTAAAATTTTATTATTTGTAATTGACAATAATTGTATATATTTATGGGATACAGTGTGATGTTTTGATAGATGTGTACATTGTGGAATGAGCAAATCAGGCTAATTAATGTATCCATCACCTGGCATACTTATCATTTCTCTGTGGTGAGAACATTTAAAATCCACTTTTAGCAACTTTGAAATATAGAATACATTATTATTAACTATAGTCACCTTGCTGTGCAGTAAATCATTGGAACTTATTCCTCCTGTGTAACTGAAACTTTGTACCCTTTTACCAACTTCTACCCTTTCCCTGCCCATCTTCCCCCAACCACCTCCATCTTCTGGCAATTACCATTCTACTCTCACCTTCTATGAGTTAGACGTTTTTAGATTCTACATATATGTCACTTAATACTACCAATAACCTTATAACATAGGCACCATTATTATCGCCATCATATCCAGTAGGGAAACTGAGGCACGGAGAGGTTGAGAAACTTGTTCCAAATCACACAGCAAGTCAGTGGCAGAGATGGGGTTCCATCTTCCCCAGGCTGGTTGCCAAATCTGTGATTTCAGTTGGTGATCCTCATATTTTAGTGTGCATACAAACCCCATGGATCTTGTTAAAAATCAGCTTTTAGCTCAGTGGGTTTGGAGTGTACCCCAGGATTCTGCATCTCTACTGAGCTTCAGGTGATGCTGCTCTTGCTGGTTTACAGAGCAAACTTGAGCACAACACTCTGAATTACAATTTTTCCCCAATTTTGTGGGGTTGCCTGTTAACAAATGTAACCGAGTCCACAAACATCATAATTTTCATCATTTTTTCTTGTACTGAAGATGACTTCTTCCATAGGTGCAAGAATACCAGCTCTCTGGTTTGTAGGTTATACTGAAGGAAAGAGTCACTTCCTGGTCCATCTCCTTGCAGGTTTAAGGAATCTGCTGACATCCATTGAATGAATGAGCAAATGCATGGATTTCTTTTTCCTAATAGATGTAATTTTTCACTGTATACAGCAAGTTTTTAGAATTCCTTTAAAGGCCCAAACAAACCACATCCCAGCAGTTTTAAATTATTTCATCATAATTCAAGAGACACTTTATTACATCATTCCCAAACAGAAAACATGAGCCTGATAATCATGATACCACTCCTATTTTAGTCATTCAATTGATTTTTACCTGCATCACATAAAGCAGTTTCTCTTCCAACTCTAAATTAATTTAAATTAAAAATGATCATTTTCTTCTTGATTTTCTAATCACAATGATTTAACAGACCTACTCAAAATAATCCAAAAAGCTTTAGATACATTTTATTTATATCTTTTCATCTGTTAATATACATTCCACTAAAACCCAAACTTATTTGTATTATATTTAAAGAGAACATAGTTCATAATTTTTATTAGAGCAAATGGAAAAATAAACATAGTAAAAATTCTTTTAAATGAACTTAATTATTTATTTTGCCAATAGTTAAACTCCCAGTGCTCTATAAGGAGATTGTTTTAATGGAATTTTTTAAAATGTATTGGCCTTTGAATGTGAAAATGACAGATTATATAAATTTCTTACTAACTTCTCTAATTACACTTTTGCTGGTTAATTTGGTAAATGATGTTTATCATGTGATTGGCTGCAACACAATATACAATGGATTTCCTTCAAGTGACAGGACGGTCCTGTAGTATCCTCACATGGTCATGGTCTCTAGGTAAACTGGTCCAACAGTTCATGATGTGTCCAAGTCTTTCTTTTCATGATTCAACTTTACAAGTTCATCTCTGACCACCAGTCAAGTACCATGTCTTGATTGTTTGGTTTGTCTCATAAAAAAAAGTTGTCCTCATTATACACACACACGCACACAGATATATGTATGCATGTGGATATAAGATACACACACATGCACACGTCACTAAACTCTTCCTAATTATTTTCTTTATGGTTTTAGTTACTAGGGAAACCTACCAAGATAACAGGCCCATTATTCTTGGGGTGCTAGCCACTTGAACAAACTGAATTTTCAAGAAGTATTTGATCTTTCTTTTTGCAAGATGAATAAAGGAGTGTTTTGTGTAAAATCAGATTTTCCTTTCTGAATAGCCTTAACCATTCACCAAACCAGAGAAATGAACGACTTCGGCCCGTTAATGTGTGAGTATGGCTATCTGGGTCATAAAGAAGCGGTTTTTCAGATGAGAGACAAAGTCTTACAGACTTCATTGGTGAGAACATCATCTAAATGAGAGGTGGCAAAACAAATATTGGTTATGGCATTATGTGCAGTTAGCTGTTACGGTGCCCATCTGCTGACTGCATTGCTTTGTGCGGAATGGATTCCCCATGCTCAGTGGTGTGTTGAAATCTGGTGTCTATGGCAACAAAAGCATCACCAATCTCAAAGCAAGCACTGTCGGGACCAGCTGAATCTCTGTTTACACAATGAGTTTAGGAAGAAGACACATTTCTGACAGACTTTACAGCTATCCGAGGCTAAAGAGATCCAGTGTCCAACCAGAAACAATATATTGTCCTTATGCATATATCATTAACATAATCTTGCTTTTTAAATTTTTTTTTCTTGTGAAGCAAAGAGAATTGCATATTTATTACAAATTGCAATTGTTGAAATAGGCTGGACTCTCAATGAAGACATTAAAGCATGATGGTTAAGAACAGCCTTTTCAGATTCAGGTAGCCTTGGGATTGTTGGACTCCACTGCAATATCTGGTTGACTTTAAGCAAGTTACTTAGCATCCCTGAGGCTTAATTTCTTCACCAACAAAATGCAATTCAAGCAGCACCTACCTCATAGGTGTGCTAGGAAGGGCCACTGAGAATGTGTGGTAACATGCTTGGCAGAGGATGCTCCCAGGCATAGACTACGAATTCCCTCTGTCAGCCATGATTTTGAGTATTGGTGGGCTTCAGCATAGGGTGATGAGACAGTGTAACTGCATTTACA
The DNA here is from genome assembly GCF_000001405.40 of Homo sapiens. NCBI lineage: Eukaryota > Metazoa > Chordata > Mammalia > Primates > Hominidae > Homo > Homo sapiens. Next base: position 36,974,488 of record NC_000023.11, on the reverse strand, counting down.
CTGAGATGGAGTACTCCACCAAATGTCAGTATCTGTGATTCTTTTTTCTTGAATCTATCTGACAACTATAAACCCTCCTTCAACCTACTGCTTGGTGAAGACAGTGGCTGCCAGTGTTCTGGATATTGATTCTGAGTATTGGTGTGCTTTAGCGTAGGGTGCTAAAGCACTCTACATTGACTAAATAGCATATGTATTCTTTTGGATGTTCAGCCAATCTGTCTTATATTCCCTGTGGTGGCATTCAGAGCTGCTATGTCCTGGATGGCAACAGCAAAGCTTTGAGATTTTCACACAGAGGCCTTAAAGGGCTGGAGGGAAGCCCTCTGCTCTGCCATGCAGGAGATTAAGCTGAGCTGCTCAGGCAGATTATATGTCAAAGTAAATTGAGTGGGCATCACCCCTAAAACAAGAACTTGTATGAATTACTCTGCACTTCCTCCAGGGAAAGGGCTCTTTTCTCTTTTAAAAACTGTAGGATCTTTGCAGTGTTATAAGAATTGGCTTTCCTGTCTCTCTGATTTGTGCTCCTTGGAGTAAATCACCTGATTGGCTTGAAGATACTATAAATTGCCATGCAGGTGATGTTGGAATATTTGCTGCTTGCTCTGTTCCCCACTCCAACTCCCTATTCTGAGTGGTGGATTCAGTGAGCTATATTTTGCTCTTAGGTTCTCTTCTTTGTTTCTAGAGATAATTTGCTTACATAGCACTAATTCAGAATTTCAGAGGAATTTCAATAGTTGTGACACTGTCAAAGTGACAACTTAAAATAAGTTTTCCTCAGCAAATGTTCCAGATCATGTACATATAGTGGCTTGTTTCAAAAAGGATTAATACAGTTAAGGATTCTTTCAAGTGTTTCTTCAGCTTCTGGGCTCAGAAATTATTTTTTTCATGCATTAATGCACTTCTCTATTAGTATTTGAAAGCTACGTGGCATAGACTCACTGTCAGTTTTACAAACTTAAATCTGCACTTCACTCTTTCATTCCTAGCTCCTATTTATATTCATTTATCACATAATGCTCTTTATATTAACAACTATGCTACTTTAATAATAAAGCTATAATTATGACTTTCCCCTATCCCTAATCAGGGGTGGGGGTGTCATGTATATTGATTAGCTCTGCTTATGATCTTTGATACCACACCAACTGGGTTCTAAGTCTTGGCTTTATTCTCCGTGTGGGTCTGTTATTTATTTATTTATTTTTTCTGATGCAAGTGTTTCTTACACCTGCAATACATTTGAATCCCTTGACGGCTTGTTAAAATACACATGGCTGGGCTCCACTCCCCAAGTTTCTGGAGATGGACCTGAGAATTTTCACTTTTAACAAGTTCCCAGTGATGCTGCAGCTGTTGCTGGTCTGGGGAATACATTTCGAGAATGAATTTCTTAGACTATACCCTTAACCTTGGCCAAACATCTCTGAAATGTGGGAACTAGGTGAGGGTATATGGCGGCAGTACCATAAACTTATCACCACCAGAAAATAAATCAAAGGATAAGACTTACTATGTGACAGGCACTGTGATAAGCATATTTTCTTCATTTTACAGGTGAGAAAATTGTGACTTAGAGAGGTTTAGTAACTTGCCTATCATCACACAGCTAGTAAAGTAGTAGAACCCACGTTTGTCTGACTATATAACTTCTTAATTTCTATAGATTTAAGTCAGGTAATCTGTCTGCATGTTTTTCTACTAAAGCACACACTTCCAAGAGGATCTTGGGCTTGCACCCCAAGATGTTTGGAAGAATAGCCTGAACTCAACTCTATCAAATGCAAAATGTTTCTAAAGTTTCTATTTAAAATGACAATACATGAAGGTGCTCTACATTTTCCACAAACTTCCAGAAGCCTGGAAGTCTCAGCCTCCTGAACAGTAGAAAGGTTCAGGAATTGGAGGTTCCAGGTGTCTCTGGTGGTAGTGGGGGTGTGGGTCATGTATGAAAACAGAATTAGTTGCAAGTTTGATAAACAGTGGTTAGACTCCCAGATACTTTCCCAAATCTGAGCAACCAGATGATGGTCTTAGGCCAGATTTCCCAAAAGTTGAACCTGAGATGTGGATTCATATGGAATTGTTTATTAAGGAGGTGTTCCAAGGAGAAACCAGTATGAGAATGGGGAAAGTAGGAAGCAGTGAATGGAAGGAAATGAAGCAAGAGTGGGATCTTAGGCTAAATTCCAGCCTCTGTCTCATCTTGTAGGGAAGCTTTGGAGTGTATATTACACTCTAGGCTAGAGGTACACTTTTGTGTACCTGAAGTAATGAGCTTCAGCTGGTGGTGGGGGGGGTATGTACATTTTCAGGTACTACAGACTCTCTTGGCATGCTGCTGAAGTTGTACTTGTAGCCCAAAAGTAGGGCTCTAAAGAAGCCTGCAAGTGAGAGTTGTTAGAAGCAAAGCATATGGACATAGGGGGATGGACTCAAAGAGCTGATAAAGAAGCATCTGAGAAGGTTTGATAGGGAAACCTGCAGTTCCTCCACCTGGGCCCTCCACACCTTAGTAGAAGCCCTGAGATTCACTTTTTTGACAGATTGAATTAGAGAAACTCAGCTTTGAGGCCCAAGGTACAGTCAAGGGCAGAGATGTGGTACTTCACTGAAAGCAGAATGACCTGAAAGTTTACATGCTGAATTGTGGGCGCCTCCCTCCTGCACACACATTTAGTTAACCTCTTCCTGAAATCCACATCCAGAACATTGACAGCCACTGCCTCCAACAAGCAGTTGGTTGAAGGAGGATATATGGTTGTCAGATACATTCAAGAAAAAGAACGACAGATACTGACATTTGGAGGAGTACTCCATCCCAGCGTAAATGCAGGTACACTGTCTCATCGCCCTCTGCTGAAAGCCCATCAACTAGCTAGCCCTTTCCCATACCCAGAATTGCCAGTGAGCTTTTTAGGGTGAAACTGTTAAATAGGAACTGTCATTCAAAAGACATTTGAGGAACGTGTCTGATTTAAAAGGCAGTGATGGTAACAAAATATACAAATAGGAAAGCCAATCTTGGAGGAAACAGATGATACTGCATAAGAAAATTTCCCAAATGCCCAAGTCTATAATTAATATTGTCAGAGAGGAAAGTAATCGCATGTCTGAAATGAAAGCAGGATATTATTGAAAGGAATATTGAGAGAACAGAAAAGAACTCTTAGAAATTAAAAAATATGATAGCAGAAATTAAAATAATTAAATGCAAAAATGAGAATATTAAGTTGAATAAATGTCTCTGAAAGTTCAACCAAAAGACAATGAGATTGATAATAAGAGAAAAGATTAATTAGAAATGTCTAACCTCTGTCTAGTGGTCGGTCCCAATTAAAAGAGAGCAAAGTGAAAGAGGAAAATTATGAAAAAAAGCAAGAATATTTTTTATAAGTGAAATACATGAGTTGCCAGATTTAAGAGACCCACCAGCATATTCAATGGAAAAACAATAAAGAAGAGATCCTAAAAACTTCCAAACAGAAAAAAAAAAAAAAAAAAAAACCTGGTTCCATACAAGGATTCGCATTGGACTTTTCATAGCAACTTAGAAATTTAAAAGACAATGAAGCAAGGTCTCCAAAATTCATAGAGAAAATTCTTAACTAGAATTCCATAGCAGCCAAAGTTATCAATCAAAGTGTGAAAGTAGAAAACATATCTTTAGATATGCAGGGTCTCCAAAAAGATACCCTTTTTGTAGTTTGTCAAAAAGAGGGAATGAACCAAAACATTGGAAAATATGGGATCACAAAACCTGAGGCCCCAATACCAGTGGGGCCACAGGGAACTTCCAGGGTGGTGGTAAAAGGACAGTCCAGGATCACGGCTGAGTATTAATACCAAAGGGAGAAAAAGGAGACAAAAGTAGGACTAATTGCACATGATATTGCTCAATGAATATTGATTTAGTCAAATAATGTGATACTATTATTTTGGGTAGGTAAGAAAGGAGAAATATGTATGGAGAGATCATAAAAAAGCTAAAGTTTCATCTTCCATGTTAGCAGATTAACAGATAATGCCTAAATGAACAAATAAAGAAATAGTTGTATTAGGATGTCATTTTTAAAATATGGAGATAAGTTGCTAGAAAAATACACAGATAAAAGTGTTTTAATTTTTTGCCTCAAAGGAGTTGATACACGGGTGGGAATAGGTGGGGGTAGGAGCCTGCTATTATTTTGAAGAGCTCTTGACTTTTAAAACAATGCACATGTATTTCTTTGAGAAATATAAACATCAAGAAAATAAATGAGGACAACTTAACTGACTTTACCCGTGCTTTTTGGCTTTTATCCACACTCTGTTTTGTTCTTCACATTTACCCTCTTCAATGATTAAACAGCGTTCTTAGAGAACATTTATGGAATGCCATCTAATAACAGAAATGATGTGGTCATTTATAGATAAATTTTGTCAACAAACATTTCCTCATCAAAGATATAGCTTGATATATCCGTTATATTCTTATAAGCCATACTAAATTAAGATTTAATGATGATGTTTTATTAGTAGAAGAAAGAGTTGAATAGCTCTGTGTTGATTCAAATCTTCATATGGTTTAATGTACACAGTTGTGCCTTCCCTAGTAAAGTATTGAGTTAAAAATGAGGATTGGAACTACATTAAACTTCTACCTAGGGAAAAGGGGTACGGGGATAGGGCCCAGTTAAAATAATTAAAAGTGAAAAGATAGATGATTCGAATACAATAAAGACTGGTTGAACCATTTACCTAAAGCAGAGCAAGAATAACAGTTTTTCATGGCAGTGGCTCTAAGATGCTCCAAGATCCTAAAATGCTTCCAAGTCATTGCAACCAAGAGAAACTAATAATTATATAGACCATTAAGTTGCTAAGTGCATTTTACATAAGCTGTCCTATTTAATTCTTGCAATATCTCTTCAAGTTGGATATTATTACCACATTCATTTTCAGAATAGAAAATAGAAAACATTGCAGAGAGGTTAAGTAGCTTTCCAAAGGTTATATGGTTAAGAAGTAGGATAATGATAACATTTGTTGCCCAAGCAGGATACTTTTGACAGGCACCAACCAGTGGGGAATCTAACAACAGATACAACCCAAGATTTACCTGTGGGACTTATGGCCCCCAATTAATAAGACATTGAGCCTTGTCCAGAACTCAAGTTCTTTTCCAAAGTTGTGAACTTTTTGCTGTCTTGGGCTGGTGGTACTAATAGTGTTAAACAAAATTCCCCATTACCTAATTATACCTATAAATGTTGACTGAATGGCAATTGTTTTTGTTTGTTGAGGGAACTTTCATGGGAGTGGGCAGAGCTTCTAAACCAGTCTTAGGGATTCAGGACTGAATTAGTTGCTTACTCTCACCCTAGACTCACCAAAGTAGCTTGAAAACTTGTAGAGAGAAGGTGTCTGGGAGGCATTCAGGTACAGGTAAGAAGTCCTGAATAGAACACATTGAAAGGACTGGTAGTGCGATGCTGGAGACAAGCATGGATGGTTAAGTACGTGGAGTGAAATTAGATGGCAAGTTGTGAAATAAACCACAAAGCAAAAAGTTTCTAACAAATTTGTTCCCTGAGTTTCTTCTGCTATTTTTCTCACAAGCCGTTTTTATAATTTTCTTGCTCCCTTTTCCCTGGCATTTCTGGCTGCCCTTTTGGGTGTATTGCTCACTGCACGTACAGAATCACTTTTGTTTTCGTCACATGTTTCCTAGGGAGCCTTTAAATGAGGCAACTCCAAACTCTTAATTGCCACTGCCTTTTTACTACTACAGAGCAGAATGACAGGCACCTTCCTGGCAAACAATATGCTCAATACATATTTGCAGAAGGAAGGAAGGAATACAGATGACATGTTTTTAATTTTATGAAACCAAATAACCCCCTTTGAGGCTCAAGTATAAAAATCTAAAGAAAGGACAACCTACATTTTAAAACTAGCTCTTTACATGCTTCTGCTTAAATGTGTTTTCACTTTTATGGATCTGACAGCAGAGCCACTTAGGATTAAGTATTTGATGGACAGGATACTTGGTTGGTCATTAATATTGTCCTATTTTCACTCACAGTCTGCCTTTTGACGCCAAAAGATGGTAAAATTCTACCACTTGTACATTATAAAATGGGAAGTATGCCTAGCTTGTGACAGTTAAGAAAATAGAAAAAAATATTTATACAGCATTTTATATTTCCCCGTGGTCTTTAGCTCTTTGTGTATTCTAGTTACTGTGTGCTATTATTTTCTTTCAGATAGAAGAACCCTTAGATTTTTTTACAAGGCAAGATTTTTAGCAATGATTTCTAACAGCCTTCATTTATTGGGGAGTGTCATTATTTTGCCTTCACTTTTAAATGATAGTTTTGCTTATACAATATTCTTGGTTGATAAACTTTTCCCCCCTTTCAGCACTTTGAATATCCCAACTGCTTTCTGGCCTCCATTGTTTCAGATGAGAAGTTGGTTTATGTTCTTAATGTGGTTCCCTTCTGTGTTGAATCATTTCTGTCTTTTTCAAAAATTCAACTATGGCATGTCTAGGGATAGATCTGTGTGTATATGTGTGGTGTTTTTTTTTTTTTTTTTTTTTTGGACAGAGTCTTGCTCTGTCGCCTAGGGTGGAGTGCAGTGGCATGATCTCGGCTCACTGCAATCTCTGGCTCCCGGGTTTAAGCGATTCTCGTGCCTCAGGCTCCCGAATAGCTGGGATTATAGGTGCCCGCCACTACGCCTGGCTAATTTTTGTATTTTTAGTAGAGACGGGGTTTTGCCATGTTGGCCAGGCTGGTTTCAAACTCCTGACCTCAGGTGATCTGCCTTCCTCGGCCTCCCAAAGTGCTGGGATTACAGGCATGAGCCACCATGCCCAGCCATATCTGTGTGTTTTTGAAAATGGGATTTGGTTGATCAGGTTAGGTGAGACTGTTTTTCATTAAATTTGGGAGGTTTTCACACATTGTTTCTTCAAAAACCTTTTCTTCCCTTCTTTCTCACTCCTCTCATTCTAGGACTCCAATTATTCATATATTGGTTGGTGTGCTTGATGTATTCCACTGGTCTGTGAGTCTCCATTCAGTTTTCTCTAGAGATTTACCTTCGACTTCATGGATTCTTTCTTTGCTAGTTCCAATCTGCTTTTAAGCCTCTCTAGTGAAATTTTTCCATTTTAGTTATTGTACTTTTGTACTCCAGAATTTTTTCATTTTCTGTATCTTTATTCTCTATTTGACAACTCATTGTCTTAGTACTTTTCATTTAATCTTTAAATATGTTTCCTTAGTTTTGAATATATGTATAAAAGTTGGTTTGACATTTTTGTCTTCTAAGTCTAATATCTCAGCTCCTTCAGGGATAGTTTTCATTTAATGCTTTATTTCCTGTGTACAAGTCAGTTTCTTCATGTCTTATAATTGTTTTTTAGAAGTGGACATTTTTGGTACTGTATTATAGCAGCTACAGTTTCTGCCCAGATTCATTCTGTAGGGTCTGTCTCTCTTGTAGTGTGTAGCTACTAATGTTTCTACTCATTTTGTTTAAGTCTTATTTTTTTATTTTTAAACCTGGATACCTAGAGGTTTCCCTTCTGTCAGTACAGTATCCCACCCTTATGACTACATCTAACCTTAATTACCTCCATAAAGGCCCTGTCTCCAAATATAGTCACATTCAAAGTTCAGGAAGTTTACAAATCTGCCTTGGCTTTTACTTTCTGGATACACAAGGCTTCACATGTAGCCAGGGACACGTTGCTAGCTAGGGCAATCTCTGGACTTTCCTGAGTGAATATAGCCTTTCATAACAGTTGGGATATATGGGAGCTTCTTAAAGTTCACTATGGCTGTCTTATTGCTGGATCTCTCTGTTAAATTTACAGCTGACTTTCTTATCTGTAGCTCACCCCAACTCATATTGCAACCCCAATTTAGCTGTGATGTTGATCTTCCTCAATTGTTTGCCACTAAAACAGTTATTGTTTTCAACAACACCCCTCAGCATAGATTTTTCTGCACTTTAAAATCAGCCCTCTCCATCATCTAGTCTCATAGCCTGCTGCTATACCACAGTAGAAGTGCTACACCACAGAGCTAGGGGTAGGGAGACAGGATGGCAGGAGCTCAGGCTAATAATGCCACAAATTCACTGTATTTCTTGAATAAACACTTTCAATTTGTTGTATGCCTTTTGTCATTTTCCAGAGTACTGAATTTTTTTTGACAATTTTATCCAGTTTATCATTGTTTTTTGCAAAGATAATTCACTGACCTCTTCACTCAGCCATGCTTGAAGTTTGTTTTTAGATGGCTATGCTTATGAAGTGTGGAAGGATGGAAACATTCATTGTGGGCCTACTATTGTTGTTATTGTGTGTCATCTAGCTGATTCCAATTTGGATACTTAAAAAAATACTAGGTTAAAAATCTGTTTTCTATTATATGAAATATACATAATTAAGTAAAGTTTAAAATCATTGATTAGACATTTATTCTTAAAAAAGCACTTCTATTTTTCATTTATTTCAAGATGTTCTCTGGAAAATGAATACTTTAAAAACTCCTTTGGAAAATACAAATTTAAAAAAATCTTGCACTAATGTGACTTTTCATATGTTAGAAATTTATAAGATTAAGAAATGTTATAGGCCTTTTATATTAACAGGGATTTAATTCCGGTGACATTTTATTTATGTATACAAACAAAGAAGATTTCTTTTTAGATATATGTAATTGAAGTACATTTTATATTTACTTGTATAGAAAAGTAAAAATGATTCTCCATGAGCGCATATATAGCTATTGCCTTATTTACTGCACAGAGTATCATGGGTATAAATTTTGATTATCTATGTGGCAATATCTCCATACATCACAGAGAAGAATTTTCTTTTTCTGAGGGGCAGTGGAATAGGGTTGTATGTGTTAAAATGTCACTATACATAATTAAAGTTTATTTAAAACAAAATTATTATTTCTTTTTTGGAATGGGTTTGGCCAAATGTATCTTAACTCCTCAATGTTGTTTTGTCACCTATCTTTTCATACAAGTAATGGTTCTCTGGGTTTATATTATACAGTTCAATAGAAGTTTTATTTATTTTCAGGAAGCAGGACAAAGACATTGTCTAGAGGCTGGGTTTTGATTTGGTTGCTTCTGTCCAACAGCAGAATGCCTTGGGGTATCTACTTATACTAATGAGTATAAATAGTGCTATCATAAACACCCTTGGTTTGCAGGAATGTGCTAATGTCTGAATATAACACAGTTAATTATGTCACTGTCCCTGCCCAGGGGAACTGCTACTGAAAGGAGGTACTCACATGATGAGGAAGATAGCAGATGCAGTGGTTTGGAATTAAGTGTTACTCCATTGCTGTCTCCAAGAAAGAGGTGTAGGATGCTGGCTGTTTTCTAGAGAGCACCTAGCAGTTTTCATCTGGTATATTAAGTTACCATGTGGGTTTAAAAAAAAAAATACTCTCGGCCAGGCGTGGTGGCTCACGCCTGTAATACCAGCACTTCGGGAGGCCAAGGCGGATGGATCACTTGAGGTCAGGAGTTTGAGACCAGCCTGGCCAACATGGTGAAACCCCCTCTCTACTAAAAATACAAAAAATTAGCTGGGCATGGTGGCACACACCTGTAATTCCAGCTGCTCGGGAGGCCGAGGCAGGAGAATCGTGTGAACCCAGGAAGCGGAGGTTGCAGTGAGCCGAGATCATGCCACTGCATTCCAACCTGGGTGACAGAGTGAGACTCTATCTCAAAAAAAAAAAAAAAAATTACTCTGTTGGCCAGGTGCAGTGGCTCACACCTATGATAATCTCAGCACTTTGGGAGGCTGAGATGGGCAGATCGCTTGAGCCCAGGAGTTCAAAACCATCCTGAGCAACATAGCAAAACCCAGTCTCTACAAAAAAATATAAAAATTAGTCAGGTGTGGTGGTGGTGCACAACTGTGGTCCCAGCTACTCGGGAGGCTGAGATGGGAGGCTTACCTGAACCCGGGAGGTCAAGGTTGCAGTGAGACATAATCACCACTGCACTCCAGCCTGAGTGACTAAGTGAGATACTGTCTCAATAAAAAAATTATTTTTTTGCTTATAATTATATATCTTTTTAGTTTTCTTCACAGGAAAAAAGCCAATTCAGTATTAAAATGCTAGCCAAGATTGAGGGCGAGTACACAGAAGTCGTCTGCACATTCAAAGAAGCAAGACAAGCTTTTGAAAATAACAAAAAAGTAAGTATATTGGGAATTAAAAGAAAAATTCACACAGATTTGCCTACCTTTTTGGCGTATATTTGAAATCTGCATCCCTGAATTACGTACACAGCTAGCAATTAAAAATTAACCTGTGGTCCCCGGCGCTGCTCGGCCCAGGGCAGGGACCCCGCCGCGGCCTGGACCGCCCGGCCCGGCCCCCGCACCGCGCCCTCTCCGCGCCCCCACCCACGCGGCCGGATCGGGTAGCCAGGTGCGGGCGGGCAGGGGATGCCGCGGGAGCCGCGGGCGGGGGCCTGGGGCGCGGGCGGGACCCCTGGCCACCCTATCCCGTGCCCCGGCCGCTTGTAGGCGCCGCGCGGCCCCGACCCGCGCTTTCCCGCGCCCAGCGCGCCCCTGTGCCTCGGGGACCCCGCGCGCTCGGCGCTGGTGGGGGCTCCCCAGGTAATCGTGGGGCGGGGGTCCCGGGCCCGGCCCTCCCGGTCGACAGCAGCGCCCGCGGCCCGCGGCGGAGGTGGGGCCGGGGCCAGGGTCGGCTGGAGCGCGCAGGGCGGGGGAGGGGAGGCCGCCCCACGGCGGCCCGCGGGGACCCGGTTCCGGCGCGCGCGGGAGGCGCCTAGTGCGGAGGCGGCCCGAGGCCTAGTGACAGGCGCGCGGCGAGGACCCCGGAAGCCCACCTGTCAGAGTTACCGGTCTGCCGGGCGGGCGCCGCCAGTGTCCGGGGTGGACGCCGCGAGCCTGCACGTTGCGCCAGGACCCCGGGGCTGCGCCCAGAAAAATCATTTTTCTTCTCTGGGAAGGTGAACATTTGTAGCATTGATTTTCCGGATCTGGTAACATGGCAAAAGATGCCGGTCTAATTGAAGCCAACGGAGAACTCAAGGTCTTCATAGACCAGAACCTTAGTTCCGGAAAAGGCGTGGTGTCCCTCGTGGCCGTTCACCCCTCCACCGTCAACCCGCTCGGGAAACAGCTCTTGCCAAAAACCTTTGGACAGTCCAATGTCAGCATTGCCCAGCAAGTGGTGATTGGTATGCCTCAGAGACCTGCAGCGTCAAACACCCTGGTGGTAGGAAGCTCACACACCCCCAGCACTCACTTTGCCTCTCAGAACCAGCCTTCTGACTCCTCACCTCGGTCTGCAGGGAAGCGCAACAGGAAAGGAGAGAATTGCAAGGGCCTGCGGCATTTCTCCATGAAGGTCTGCGAGAAGGTGCAGAGGAAAGGGACCACTTCCTACAACGAAGTGGCGGACGAGCTGGTAGCAGAGTTCAGTGCTGCCGACAACCACATCTTACCAAACGAGTCAGCTTATGACCAGAAGAACATAAGACGGCGCGTCTATGATGCCTTAAACGTGCTGATGGCCATGAACATCATCTCCAAGGAGAAGAAGGAGATTAAGTGGATTGGTCTGCCCACCAACTCGGCTCAGGAATGTCAGAACTTAGAGGTGGAAAGACAGAGGAGACTTGAAAGAATAAAACAGAAACAGTCTCAACTTCGAGAACTTATTCTACAGCAAATTGCCTTCAAGAACCTGGTGCAGAGAAACCGGCACGCAGAGCAGCAGGCCAGCCGGCCGCCACCACCCAACTCGGTCATCCACCTGCCCTTCATCGTCGTCAACACCAGCAAGAAGACCGTCATCGACTGCAGCATCTCCAACGACAAACTCGAGTATCTGTTTAATTTTGACAACACATTTGAAATCCAAGGTGACATAGAAGTGCTGAAGCGGATGGGCATGGCTTGCTGGCTGGAGTCTGGGAGCTGCTCTGCTGAAGACCTTAAAATGGCCAGAAGTCTAGTCCCAAAGGCGCTGGAGCCGTATGTGACAGAAATGGCTCAGGGAACTGTTGGAGGCGTGTTCATCACGGCGGCAGGTTCCACGTCTAAAGGCACGAGGTTCTCTGCCAGTGACCTGACCAACGGTGCAGATGGGATGCTGGCCACAAGCTCCAAGAGGTCTCAGTACAGCGGCTCCAGGGTGGAGACCCCGGTGTCCTACGTCGGGGAGGACGACGAGGAGGATGATGACTTCAACGAGAATGACAAGGACGACTGACGTCCTCCCCACTTCAAATTCAGCTTCAGGAAAACATTTAGGGAAAAGAAACTTTTTTTTTAATGTAGGTTTTCTGTTTCCTTTTGTCCTACTCCCAAGAAGATATTGGTAAGCTATTTAATTTAGATATGCACCTCTGATAAGCAAGGATTGTTTCCTGTAGGATTAGGACGTGCTGTGGATGTGTGTTTTGATACCAGTGTGCTGATGCAGAGCGTTTATTTACTTTTTAGTATTTTGTGCTTTCATTTTTTATTTTTCTTTTAAGTGCAGAGTTCATTTTTGCCCCTGAACAGTTTTTGCTGAGTTTGCTGAAGAAATTGTATTTCATCCACATGCATGAAAATAAAACGCCCTCTTGTTGTGGATGGTGAGCACCTGATGCCGTTTATTTGCCGTGAGTTTGGACGGCGCCCCCACTGGCAGATAGCGAGACTCTGTGGAGTTTTCCATTTGTTCAGTGGTACGGTGTCCAGAGCCCCAAGCAAACAGCAGAATTCGACATTTTAAACAATAAACACCATCAACCTTATTAACTTTATTTTCTCTTAAATTATATTGACTGTCGTGATTCCATCAAGTTTATACACTCTTTTCTCTCCCTATTTTGCAGCAACAAATTGCAAAGTGCTTTTGTTTGTTTGTTTGTTTTTGTTTGGTTAAAGCTTACTGCCACGCTGGTGTGGCTATGGAGACTGTTTGGAAGGCTTGGAATGGTTTATTGCTTATGGTAAAATTTGCCTGATTTCTTACAGGCAGCGTTTGGAAACCTTTTATTATATAGTTGTTTACATACTTATCAGTCTATCATTTAAAGACATATACTGAAACAAATGTATTTGTTTCATAAGCATCTTCCTGTAATCTATTATAAAATTGAAATTAAATATAAAGAATGTTTTAACAATTTTTTAACTCAAAATTTGTCAATCATTTTTAATAGTTCTTTTTTTTTTAATAAAAAGAACAAGGAATTTAAGGACAGGCAGTAGTCTCTTTTAAAATTTATTCACAAAACCCATTAACTGCACAGTTGCTATTAGCTGCCTGTTCTAAAGCGAAAGTCTTTTTATTGAAACACAAATAAACTTTTCTGTAATATTTTATGGAATATAAAGAAACTTTAATTGTTTGACTTGTTTAACTTGGCACTGTTAGTTTTTATTAATAAAATACGCATGGGCATTTTAAACAAAAACAAACAAACAAAAATTACCCTGTTAGGAACTCTGAAATATGCTTTTAACTAATAATATTATGTTGGTTGGAGAGCTAGGCTCACTTTCCTGTGTGCTGTACTGTCTTTGAGAGCCCCATTTCCATAGGACGCTGCTGAGCTAGGATTTATCTCCTTGGCCAGGGGGAAGGATTTGATTCACACAGTTTTGTTCTAGAAGGTTATAGATAACATCATTGCTTTGCCTAATGAGAGACAAAGTATGGAGGAAGTTAATAGATGCTGATAGTATTTTAAAAGGTTTTACTTCTCATACAAAAGAAAAGACATATCTGGACTTCCCTTCCCACTCTGAGAGAATACTCTTCTTCACCATTTTTTTTTTTTTTTTTGAGACAAAGTCTCGCTCTTGTCCTGCAGGCTGGAGTGCGATGGCATGATCTTGGCTCACTGCAACCTCCGCCTCCCGGGTTCAAGTGATTCTCCTGCCTCAGCCTCCCGAGTAGCTGGGATTACAGGCACCTGCCACCACGCCCGGCTAATTTTTGTATTTTTAGTAGAGACAGGGTTTCACCATGTTGGCCAGGCTGGTCCCGAACTCCTGTCCTCAGGTGATCCACATGCCTTGGCCTCCCAAAGTGTTGGGATTACAGGCATGAGCCACTGCACCTGGCTCACCATTCTTTACTCTAGACTACATGCTATTCAAAGAGAGCATGGATAGGAAAGCACAAGGTGGGGGTGAAAATTCCATAGAACTGCTCCACAGCTGGAAATTGCATTACCAGAGGTAGCCATTATATAAAGATCCAGTCCAGGGCAGCACAAAAATAACACTAGATGCTACACAAGTGATGTCACATATGCTAGAAGACAAATACATCTTGTGTCTCACTCTAATAGGGAGGGCTTCACACAATTTTCTGTGAGTGTGTGGTTGAACATGCATATATGTGTGTGTTTTAATATACTGGCTTTGTCTTAAAGTATTCATCTTCCTAGACCAATCATGAGCTATTATATACTCTAAATAGAATAAAGTATTATTTGCAAATGTCATCTAAATGTTATTGAAAGCGTTCACTATGTATATCAAATATCATGGAATGTTTACAGTCCAATATGGCTCATATGTTTAAAACATAAAATCTGTTTTTTCACACTGTATGTTTTCAAAAAATATAAATTTTAGATAATCTAACGGTTTTCACACACTTAATAACTTTTCATCCTACTTTATCATTCTCCTTTACAGAAAAGGCAAGCACTTGTTTGAATTCATTGTGCTAAAAGTACTTTATACCAGGGAAAAATATTTTTAATTAAAAATTTAAATGCTTTAAAACTTACAGAAAATTTGCAAGAATAGTACAAAAATAGTACAAGAAAAGTCCTTTACCCATATTCATCAATTTGTAACATTGTCTCATTTATCATTTTTTCTCTCTACCATATATACATATTTTCTACCATTTGAGAGTAAGCTGCATATGTTGTGACCCTGTACCCCTAAATATTTCAGTGTGTATTGACTAAAAAAAGGAATATATATATACTTATAAATATATATATAAATATATATAAATATATATAAAAATATATATAAATATATATATAAATATATATATATATATTTTTTTTTTGAGACAGAGTCTGGCTCTGTTGCCCAGGCTGGAGTGCAATGGTGATCTCAGCTCACTGCAAACTCCGCCTCCCGGGTTCAAGGGATTCTCCCAGCCTCAGCCTCCTGAGTAGCTGGGATTACAGGCGCCCAACACCACACCTGGCTATTTTTTGTATTTTTAGTAGAGACAGGGTTTCGCCATGTTGGCCAGGCTGGCCTTGATCTCCTGACCTCAGGTGATCTGCCTGCCTCGGCCTCCCAAAGTGCTGGGATTACAGGCATGAGCCACCGCGCCTGGCCAGAAAACACATTATTTTATTTAACCACTGTCAATGAGCAAATCAGGAAATTTAACATTAATACAATATTATCTAATTATACAATAACTATCCCTATTTAAACTGAACAATCATTCCAATAATGTCTTTATACCATTTTGTTTCCACTCCAAACTCCAATGTCAGACAACTCTGTCCTGGGATCTCCCACAGTGGGGATCCATTGGCAGCTTTTAGTACTGGCCGAATAAGCAATAAAGTCCTAGGCCATCTGTGAGCAGCTCTTGCAAAGGAGAAATAAATAAAGGTCTGGCTGGAGAGGAGAGGTACTTTGAACTGGGGAGATGGGAGGGCAACTCACAACCAAAGACCACAAAGGAAAGTAAGCCCCTCCCTCTCCCAACTCTTCCTATCTCCCAAAAGTTTAAGGAAATAAAATCCCAATCTGAGTTAATTGGTGAAAATCCAGATAAGATGGAGTGGAACAGGCAGAAATGTGAACACTGAGAGGTAAACCTAGGCAAATTCGTCCTCGAGAGAGGAGGGAAAAAAGAGTGGGGAAGACCAACAGAGAACCCCCGCAGCATCTCGGTGGAGTTGGGGCGTTTTTGCCTGCTTCTTTTTTAACTGGGGTGTGGAAGGCGTCGCATTTTTTACACAGCCACATGGCTCTCGCCTCAAATGATAACAAATACCCAAAATAGCGTTACGTGTTACTGCAGAATAGGAGGAATGGCCACAGGGGAGGGAGAGGACGTGGGCTGTCGCTTTAGGTTTGGCGGCCAGGGATGGGGAGGGAAGAGGGGTGGACGCCAGGGAGGTGGTTGGAGCCTCAGGATCCGAGAAGGGCCTGGACGCGGTGGGACGGGCCAGGGCAGGGGACGCGGAGAGGTGGGGACAGGTGGTGACTCTCCTGGCAGTAGGGCGCAAGGCAGTCCGGGGCGGGAGGCAGGGGTCGCGGTGCGCCGGGCCCTCACCGCTGCTGAGCGTGGACTCGCAGTGCCAGATGTCCAAGCTGGCGGGTTTCCGGCAGGACTCCCACAACGACAGGTAGTACTGGTGGTCAGCTGTGATCCAGGCCGGGCTCAGCACCGCCCCCAGATCCAGATACAGCGTCAGGAAGATGCACAACAGCCCGACCAGCTTCAAGGGGAGTCAACACCGACACGCGCACCTCCTCCATGCCGCTGCCCGCCGAAGCCATTCCTGGATGCCGCTGCCGCCCGAGGACGCCAGGCGGGTCCGGGGAGCCAGGAGTCCGACCTCCCGAGGGGAGAAGCCACCGAGCCCCCACGCACTGGGACTCGCTCCCTCGGGGCTCTGCGCGCCCCCTGCCGCGCGACCAAGGTGGGTCTGCGGAGGCCGCCGGCCGGGTGGGGGTCGTCCGCAGCCGCAGCGACGTCGATTCCACCCCTGACCTTCGCCGCCGGCCCCGCGCCCGCTCCGCCCCGCTCGACAGGGCTGGCTCCGTCCCAGCCCCTCCCCAGGCTGCGGGAGGTGGTGCCGAACAGGGAGGGGCGGAGGGCCAGCACCCGGTGACTTCGGCTCCTGCTCCCAGGGCCCGAGGCTCGCGCGGATCCCGCCCCTACCGCGGCCCTGGCCCGCGGAGGGAGCCCGGTGCCAGCCCGCGCCCCCGACTGGCGGCGCGCGGCAGTTCCTTGAAGACGCTAGGTACCCAGCAGCGCTGGCTCCAAGTCACCTAGCTTTCTCCTCCTTGCCCCGTCAGGAGCATTTCCGTTTTCATTGTATTAATTTTAGGTGAGCAGCAAGATGTTTTGATGTACATATCCATAGTGAAATAATTACCACAGGTAAACAATTTTACGTATCCATCACCATCCATCCATATTTACCTTTGTTTGTGATAAGAGCATCTAAAATAAACTCTTAGTAAAATTTCAGTATACAATATTGCTAAGTATAGTCCTCCTGCTGTGCATTAGATCTCAGACTTATTTATTTAACCCAAGTAACTGTAAGTTGTACCTTTGACCTACACATCCCCATTTCCTCCTTGCGCTAAGTATTTGACTCTTTTTTTTTTTTTAAAAAAAGATTCCACATACAAGATCAGGCAGTATTTTTCTTCTTGTGTCTGTCTTATTTCACTTGGCAAAATGTCTTCCATCTTTATCCATGTTGTTACAAATGGCAGTATCTTTTATTTTAAGGTTAATATTCCATTATATATCTACCACAATTTATCCATTCAACTGCCCACTCACACTACACTCAGGTTGTTCCCATATCTTGGCTACTGTGAATAATGCTCATCATGGGAGCACAGACACCTTTTGAGTATACACACAGAAGAGGGATTTCTGGATCTTAAGGTAGTTATATTTTTAAGTTTTTGAGGAACCTCCATACTGTTTTCCATAATAGCGATACCAATTTAGATTCTCATCAAGAGTGTACAACAGTTCCCTCTTCTCCACACCCTTGAAAACCCTTGTTATCTCTTGACTTTTTGATAATATCCATCCTAACAGGTATGAGATGATATTTAATTGTGCTTTTGATTCACATTTATCTGATGATTAATAAAGTTGAGCATCTTTTCATACAGTTATTGGCCATTTTTATGCCTTCTTTGGAAAAAGTCTATTCAGGTCCTTTGCCCATTCTTTAATTATATTATGATTTTGCTACATAATTTTGTGAGTTCTGAAGGGGCTAAAAGGAAAAATGTCTCCTTTGACCTCTGAAGGTTCACTGAAAATTAACTGACAAAAAGCAGATTAATAGGAGAAAAGACATAGAAAATTTATTAATATGCACATGTGTGCATGGGACTCATACAAAATATGAAAATCTCAAAGACAGGGCCAGATAGTTGACATTTTTATACCATCTTGAGGTAACAGAAGAATAGGGGCTTAAAGCATGGCAAGACCATGCTTCAAGATTATGGGAGGGAGAGAGAAATAAAGGCAAGGGGTAAAGGCAATCTTGTCATGTAGATGAAATCTCAAAGGCAACAGCTCTCAGAAAGAATAGGTAGCAGCTTGTGGTTGAGTTAATTATTTCCAGATCTGGATAAGGGGTAGGGCCTCAAAGAAAGCCTGGCTATTTATTTTGCTAATGTAGCAATGCATATATACTCCACAAATGACAGCTTTTCAGAGCTATTCCTGTCTGCAGGTCCTCTGAATAGGCACATTTGCCTGAATTTCAAAATATGCCAAAAAAGTATATTTTGAGGAAAATAGTTTTAGTTTCCTTTTAGTTGCTTATATATTTGGGATATTAACCCCTTATTAGATATATGGTTCACAAATAATTTCTCTCAATCTATTAGCTGCCTTTTCAATTTGTTAATGGTTTTATTTGCTGTGGAGAAGCTTTTTAGTTTGATATAGTCCTAGTTATTTATTTTTGCTTTTGCCTGTGCTTTTGGTGTGATATCCAAAAAGTCACTACCAAGGCCAATATCAAATAGCTTCCCCATCCTCTTTATTTTAAAGAGTTTTACATTTCAGGTCTTATATTTAGGTATTTAATCCATTTTGAGTTGATTTTTGTGTATGGTGTAGGATAAGAGACCAGTTTCATTGTTCTTTGTGTGGATATCCAGTTTTCCCAGCACCATTTATTGGAGAGACTACTCTTTCCACCTTGTGTCTTCTTAGTGGCCTTGTAGAAAATTACTTGACCATATGTACTGTTAAAAGAAAAACTGTAGCTGAATTAAATTTAAGAGTTTAATTGAGCAAAGAATGATTTACAAATCAGGCAGCCTCCTGAGCCAGAGAAGACTCAGAGACTCCAGTGCAGCCACATGGTAGAAGAAGATTTATGGACAGAAAAAGGAAAAGACATACAGAAAATGGAAGTGAGGTACAGAAACAGCGGGGTTAGTTACAGTTTGGCATTTGCCTTGTTTGAACATGGTTTGAACAGTTGGCCATCGTTGATTGGCCAAAACTCAGTGATTGGCACAAGAGCAGGCTACAGTCTATATATAACTCCATTTAGGTTATAGTTCATGATGTACAGAGAAACCTTTAGGCTGAACTTAGAATATATAAGGAGGTAGCTTTAGGCACTTGATTTAACAATTCCCCCATTTTTTCATCCTCTCAATTGTGAGAGATTTACCAAAACTTTAGTCATTGATGTCACTATCACCATAGTAAATGTACTTACTTGGTTTTGAAACCCACTGGGAAATAGCAGAACTGCGGGTTTTGTAAGGTGGAAACAAGGTCTTAACGTTATTACTATTATTATTTTTGTAAGGTTTGGAGTAGAGAATACCTTCTTATGCTGCAGGAGAGAAACAAAACATGGTCTGTTCTAAAAATCTTCTGTGTTTCCTTAAAGTCTTAGTTTGATTATGTCACATTTAGCATAAATGACTCCATTTTGGTTTGGTCTGGTCTGTTGGGGCAAACAATGGGCTCCCATAATTTGTTTTAAAATTCCCCCCTTTTGGTCAGATTCTCATGGTGAGAGTGTGACCAAAACTTAGGGCCTTAGTGCCACTCTCAGTTACCATCATTTTGGATTTCTGGTCTCAGCATGTCATTCGTGGGTTACAGTGACTTTTTGGTCACATATTTCTTTCAGCTCTTGTCGCTCCAGTTAAAGAGAGACCATCTGACATTTTAGAGATGGCTGCATGGAAGTATTTAAAACTTTTGAGAGAATACAGTGTACCAGGGAGACTACTATTAAGACTATCAGGAGAATAACACCAAGAGTTTGGAGTCTGCTCCTTAGCCAGGTTCCCCATAAACCAAACCAACTAAAATCAAATAGACCAAAGAATGAGCTAGATGAAGAGTCTACCCACTTTAAGCAGTCTCTTCATTAATACCATATAACTGAATCTCTGTAATACTGGATGTGATGTATTTCTTCATGGGCAACAAGAATTGCCAGCATTGCATAGATACATCTGTTTAGCCGGTTACTAATCCAGAGCAATTCTATTATTCAGCATAACTTTCACAGGAGACTTTACAGTCTGTTATGTAACCAGAGCCTCTACAGTAGAATCTGCTATAAAGCATATCATGAGGAATAAATTTCTAATCATTACCTCATTTACTCTAAACCATGGGAAAAAGGACTTAACAAACAATGCCCTTCAGAAGAGTGAAGACCTCCTGGCAGTGTTCTTTTTAGCCTATGATATTGGCTAAGAGGAGTGGACCAGTTTTCTGTTTCTGACTGACTGTGAGGCAAGGTATGTACCATTAACATTTCTCAAGTACATTAGGCCTTCATCTTCCATCTATCAAGGCATAAGGTTATCCATATATAAGGCTGGCTGCAAAATTTTTCACAAATAAACTATACCCCATGAGTGCACACAATAGACCCCCCCTTTCACTTCTATCATTCATAGAGGCATAAGCAAGGGAAAAATATTCAAAGATAAGAGTCTCATGATAGTAGAGAAGTCTTTATCTGTGATGTTGGGATAAAGCTGTCTACATCAAGGATGCCACCTTCTTCTGAGGAGAAGCTTCCCTGGTTAGCTTTACCTTAAGGTTTCCAATGTGTTTATAGTTCCAAGAGTAAGGAGGGACCCCTCTAAGTCGTGAGATTATGAACCCAAGGTTCAAGGTCCAGAAGTTTTGCTGCAGTGTGGATGGCAAGGGTAGTCTTTCAATGATATTCTTAGAAGGTCTAATCTTCATGTTCTATATTGTGAAGAGGTTAATTGCTCTCAGTCAGTGAACCATTAAAATCTTTCTTTACCTGGTGAAGAGACACTTTGGTATAATGAGCTACTGTTATAACATTAGCCTTCTTGCATGAGAACGTTTTGTACAACCAGAAAACATGCACTGAAAATGACAATTGAATGAAATCCCTTTAGAAGTGTTTAAATAGCCCATCAGATAGTAGAATGTACCTGAAATTTTTATTTGTCTTCCCAAGAATATGGGTTTGACAAACCAAACATTGGTCATAAACTATTTTAGCAACTTAGAAGTCATCATACCAATATATATATTTAATTTGGATTTAGAACTTTTAATAACCATAGCTTTAAGGACTTAAGAAGGACAAGATAGCCATCCTGGTTTTCCATGAGTCTATGCTTAACAATAGACTTGTGTCTTCTTGAATAACAGTTGTTTCTCCAATTTAGGTGCATAGCACTGATAACTGATGGGTTATCATAGGTAATTTTACTTAGACTATGGAGTTCATTCAAATTGTATATCTAAACATTTTCAATACTGGCAGATTTAGCATGGAAACCTGCAAAATATTTTCTTGATATTAATTTTTGTTCTGCTTGGGTGAGCAGTTTTATATACTAGTCAGTCTCTTCATTAAAGTTCTGGGAATTCTTACCCAGTCCAAATGATATGATTCTAAAGTGATTAGAAACCTGTACTAAGGAGTGCTTCTCAGGGTCCTTTCCATCCTTTCCTGAACCTCCTTAAAGACATCGTATTCTTGGATGTTGCATGCTTGTGAAGTTTTCAGAAACTGCATCAGAATCAAGCAGTTAACTATGGAAATGGCTTTAAATAGTCACAGTTAAAGACACAATTGACAAGGAAATGTGGTTATTTCTGTGGTCTACAGTAACTTACCCATAATTATGATTGATAGCATATACTCAGACATATTAGAATTTTAGGAATTCCATACAATTTTTGAACATATATTAATAACATTCATTAAAATATAGGCTGAAGAAAGTTAAACATTATTTCTTATTTGGCAATGCTTTGCATGTAACTTAACATGTCAAATAATCCTGTTTACCTCTCTTTTGGATGCTTCAAGGGCCCTCTGTAGCATCCCAAAGTTAGAGGTCAAAAAAGACTTATTTTTGAAGTAGAAATTTGATTTTGGTATTGGTTACAGCTCAGGGTTTGCCTTATTTGAATATGATTTGAACAGTTGGCCACAGTTGATTGGCCAAAACTCAGTGATTGGCACAAGAGTAGGCTACAGTCTATGTACAACCCATTTAAGTTATACTTCATGATGTACAGAGAAACTTTTAGGCTGACCTTAAAATATGTAAGGAGGCTGCTTTAGGCTAAATTTGATTTAATAATACTTGGTTTTATAGAAAGAAACTTCTAATATTTGTACATGTAAAAGAAAATAAAATTTCAGGACTCCCTAAATTAATTATGCCAAGAGGGAATGCTTTTCATTCACCCGACCTTGTTGCAGCTGATGGGGGTCTCTGTCAAAGCTCCTCTCAGGTTTTCAGTTGCCCTGATTTCAGTTTGAGATTGAAACTTTATTCAAGCAACCCAATTCCATGCTCAATGGAGCTGGAATTGATGCTCTGATTTTAAGGTAGGAGTTTCCTCAAGAGGAGTCCTTTGAGAAAACTCCTACTTTAAAGCAGAGCTTTAATTCTATGGATTCTGTGGACTGCATATTTGTCGTTTTCATTTTTCTCTGCAGTAAAGGTTTTGTTTGTCTTATTTCTTAGGGTTTGAAACCTTTTCACTCACTTGAAATTTGGTCAAGGAGAAAACAGGTTTTCTTTGAAGAGAGAAAATGAAATTTTTGTGGCTTAAATGAAAAATTTGTAATCTTTAAAACTGGCCAGATTCTGAAGCTTGGCTCAGTGGTCAAATCTGCACTTTCATCTGGAGTAACCAAAATTCCTCCCACTAGATCTTTTTGGTCATTCAAAGGGAAAATCTAATTTGCATTTGTACTTCTAAAGGAGACATCCAACTTTAGAAACTTCAGGTGAATTCATGTACAATACTTATGGTGCCACCTCCTGTCAATATCTAGAAAAATGGTTTTAAAGCACAAAGACCCCTAACTACAACAGCCTAAATAGGATATCTTTGAAACATTTAAAATAGTTTATCTGCATGCTCTAATAATAAAAATAAAGCTGGCTTTAAAATAAAACCAAAATAACTGGGAGAGCAATTTTTCAATGTTACTTAGAAGCTTCTAAAAGAGTTTTTGATAAAGAAGTTTCTTTGCAAGAGGAAATCAAGATTGTCTAAAGTTATTTCAAATGAAAAAAGACTTCGGAGACTTTCTCCATTTTGCCTCCAACTGCTCCTCCTCCTTGTACCCCTGTCATTTGAATTCATCCCTTTCTGCTTGTTCCCTCAGCTCCCATAAGCTCTTCGGCAGAGATTTTTGAAATTCCACAATGCAAACTTTTTTTTCTCTCAAAAGAGGGTAAACGTCTTTAAATTTGGAGGAGAGAAAACAAATGGAACAACTACAGAATGAGAAGAAAACTACTGAGATTATAAAATACAGATCCAACAAAGTTTTTCTTCTAAACCATAACTAATAAATGACATGGATGATTTATTGACCCAATATCAGAGAATACCCTTTAAATGTCCTGCTGGACTTCACAGTCCTTTGGAGATGTAAATCTGATCCTGTCTTTGAAATGGTAACATCTAGGTAATTAGCTAAACAACCTTCCAATTGAGCTCACCCCTGAAACAAGTTAAAATCCTTTAAAATGCTTAAACTGCCTGCTTCTATTCCCTGCAGCATTGACAAAAGAGCACCTCGCCCTGTGGCCTAGTGGCTAAGATTCTGTGCTTTCTGGACTGGGGCCCAGGTTCCATTCTCTTTCAGATTAAACCAAACCCAGAACAATGACAACAACAAATACTGGCAAGGATGTGCAGCAACAAGAGCTCTTGTTTTTTTGCTGATGGTAATGCAAAGTAGTACATCCAATTTTGAAGACACTTCGGCAGTTCCTTACAAAACTAAACATACTCCTACCATATGATCCAGCAATGACTCTCCTTGGTGTTTACACAAATAAGTTGAAAACTTATGTCCACACAAAAACTGGCAGTTGAATGTTTATAGCTTTATTCATAATTGGCAAAACTTGGAAGCAACCAAGATATCCTTCAGAAGGTGGATGGTTAAATGAATTGGTACATCCTGACAATGGACTATTTATTATCCAGTGCTATCAAAAAATGCGCTATCAAGCCATGAAAATACACAGAGGAAACTTAAATGCATATTACTAAGTGAAAGCCAATTCTGAGAAGCTACATACTGAATGATTCCAACTTTATGACATTCTGGAAAAGGCAAAACTATGGAGATTGTAAAAGTTTCATTGGCTGCCAGGGGTTGGGATTGGGGAGGGATGAATAGGTGGAACACAGAGGAGTTTTTTTAGGGCAGTGAAACTACTTTGTATGGTACTATAATGATGGATACATGTCATTCATTAAACATTTTCCCAAACCCATAAAATGTACAACACTGTATTAGTCTGTTTTTGTTGCTATAATGGATACCTGAGACTGAGTAATTTATAAAGAAAAGAGGTTTATTTGGCCTATGGTTTTTATGCTCTACCCAAAACATAGTATGGGCATCTGCTTCTGGTGAGGGATTCAGAAAGCTTACAGTCATGGTGGAAGGTGAAAGGGAGCCAGCGCATCATATGGTGAGAGAGGGAGTGAGAGAAGTGCAGAGGTGCTAAAGCTGTTTTAAACAACCAGATCTCTTGCGAATTCATTACTGCGGGGGGGCGGGGGGGGGGCGGGGGCGGATACCAAGCCATTCATGAGAGACCCGCTCTCATGACTCAAACACCTCCCACCAGACCCCACCTACAACTTTGGAGATTACATTTCAATATGAGATTTGGAGGGAACAAACATCCAAAGTATATCAAACACCAAGAGTGAACTCTCATGTAAACTATGGACTTTAGGTGATAATAATGTGTCAGTGTGGGTTTATCAGTTATAGTAAATGTACCTCTCTGGTGGGGGATGTTGAAAATGGAGTAGGCTATGCAAATGTAGGGGCAGGGAGTATATGGAACTCTATTTTTTTCTGCTCAATTTTGCTGAAACCTAAAGCTGTTCTAAAATTTTAAAAAGTAGATTGTCATTTATTCATGAAAGCTATTATGGCACTTTCATCAGTGGACTCTTGTTCAAAGGAAATATCATTGGCATATGTCACAAAGTTTTTGGAAATATGCCCGTACTCCCAGGAGGTCTCATTTCACTTGGAAGAACAAGGGCTGATAGTTTGAGTGGGAAGTTAAACACACAGACACATAAATACACAATGGTAAAGTTGAAGCCCTAGACCAGGGTATCCTTGTGTCTCATAAAGTATCCAAACCACCAAAGAACTCACCTCAGTTTGGAACAAGTAACATTAGATCTCACAGAACCAGAGAGTTCAACTATGACTCCATGTGGCAACAACACAATGGTGTTAGAACTGGACTTTCTAGC